>NC_000005.10:24853275-25156305 GCF_000001405.40 Homo sapiens
ACAAGATTTGGTTATTTAAAAGTGTGTAGCACCTCTCCCATCTCTTTCTCTTCCTCCTACTCTGGCCATGTAAGACGTGTCTGCTTCTCTTTTGCCTTCTACCATGATTGTAAGTTTCCTGAGACCTCCCCAGAAGCAGAAACCACTATGCTTTCTGTACAGCCTGCAGAACCATGAGCCAATTAAACCTCTTTTCTTTATAAATTACACAGTCTCAGGTACTTCTTTGTAGCATTGCAAGAATGGACTAATACGTTAAATAACCTAATTATGATCTTCAGTGAGAAGATTTTATCTGTTGGAAGAGGCAATAGAAGAAAACTATTTTTGAATCTTAGTGGAAGAGACTTTATCAGGTATTATTGATGGATATGGCAGTGAACCTTTGAGGACCCTTTCATGTTTCACAACTAAACTAGAATTCAGAATTCCACGCAATTAGGATATCAATCCAAAAGTTGACCTCAAATTGAGGATTCACAGGGATCATGTAGAAGCCACCAATCTTTGGAGGTAGATAGCTGACCTGAGACCATTGGAGTAAGCTGAAAACCTTCAGTGGTGAGCAGGTTCAAATCCAGATATCAGACCAAGATCCCTGTCCAATTCCTGTTTTGTTTTTCATTGCTTGCTTATGACCACTCTTCTTTTGTTTTTAAAAAATTCTGTACACCCTGGTCCATTTGTCCATTCAAAAAGGCCACCTTTTTGTTTTCTTTTCTCTTTATTATTATCATTAGGTCAGAAAATACTCATTCTAAAGCCATTCTTAGGTTATACCAAAGACCAGTCATTGCCCTTAATCTTATTGACTTCTGGACATGCTGTGCATACATATAACTTCATAATGGAAACTTGTGGACAATTCCAATTCCATCAAACAAAACCATAGGGAATTACAACCAATGGTGTTTCCACTTGCACCTCCATGAACAAATGACCTCAAACAAATTAATCCCTGACATTTCTAGTGTCTTGTCTCCTAGGAAAAATATAAATCATTGCAATCTATTGATCAGGCACCAATAAATTCTATACTTGAACTCAACAATCTTCTGAGGATGATGGACAAATTACTTACCACCTGGAAAAAATTAATAAAATATTTAACCTTCCTAATGCAAGGCCTTGGAGCCAACCTTGTGTAAAGAACAACTCCTTTTGTTCCTGGATCTCCATGTGCTCATACCAGATACTACTTCCTTGGCAAGCAGGATGATGCATCCTGCTTGCAACAGGACCTCATACACCTCAGGCACTTTAGGAATAACACCTCATGCACTTTAGAAGTTTTAGAATTTTCTCTACACAGAGTCACATATTCTATAAATCAGCAAGACTGGAAATTCTGACTCAGATATGAGCTCAAAAACAAGCCTACTCTTGATTAATCAGACATTCTACCTGGAGGAGTTATTGACTTATTGTTTATACATACTAATAATCAGAGACATGTCCCAAGGACAGAAGACTGCAAGAAACTTGTCACTAACTCTGGCAGAAATTATTAATGACACTACCTCTGCCTTAAATGGAATACAAATCAGTCTCAAGTCATGGGCACAAGTAATGATGGACAATGCATTCCTCTAGATACTTGTTGGTAGTGATGGTAGTATGTACGCAGTTGCTAATAATTCTTGCTGTACTTGCAGCAATGAAAAAGACATGGGAGAACAGCCTACATATACATACATTGCCTTAAGAAGAAAGCTACTTGATTCTCTCAGTTTTATCCTCAGGGATTATGCAATATGATGTTTTGGCCTGGATTGAGCAATTGGGTTTCCCATTTCAAAGTATTTGAAGGATTCCTACCCAGATGTCTCCCTTTTCTATGTCAGTCTCTGATTTACCTCACTGAACTGATCACCACAGCCTGCCTCAGCCTCTAGCTCCTATTCCAGGGAATCACTTCTACATGGGCATTCTTATCAACATCCATGGGTCTCAACACCTAGCTCTGGGCTGCTGTGGCCTTTCTTCACACTTGACTTAGTCCTATCTACTAGCTTTAGAATGGAGTTGTTTAGGGTGGGAAGGAAAGAGAAGGGACTAAAGAAGAGAAAAGAAAAGAGCCAAATTATTCCTTTATACTGAGAACATATATGTGTGATATGGTAACTTTCTCATTGCAACCCAACCGATACATTTTTGAAACTCAGGTGAGTTCTCTTTTTACTCTAGTCTTGTCATCAGCTTTCCTAAGAGCCTTAGGAAATGTCTCTGCACCCTATTGCCCTGCCCCTAATTTTTCAAGATTATGTGTGAGTACCCAGTATCTCTGTGAGTACCCAGAAGGTATCAGAAGAATTTCTCTAAGCTTTCCTACCCTCTCTCCTGCCTTAGAGAGCAGAAAGCCTGGAATGCGTAGAAGGCACTTCTCTCAGCTCTCCATTCTTCAGCCTTCGGTTACTAAAAACCGGAAGTGCCTTGAATAGTTATCTCTCAAGTGTCCTGATGTGCCCCACCCCCGCCACCCACTCACTGGCCTATATCCTATGTTGTTAGTGAAGTTCCATAGGAAAGAGTAGATGGGTAAGTGAATATTCACTACATTGATGAAACATCTCAGAAATTTAATCTATCCCACTAGTTCATATGCAGCCAGCACACATGTCATCATTACATGTTTGTAAATGGTGTGGCTAGTTTTTTTGTATCACCAAATATAGTTAACTCCCCCTCCCACAACTCTACCAGGAAAGAAGCCTCCTTTTTCCTATGAAAAATTTGTCCCTGGCTAGAGTTCAGTTTATTTGTGGTTTTTCACACCTTTCTTTGACACATTTAACAAAAACATCGTTTCATAATTTACTACACTTGGATTGGTGATTAGAATTAGAGCAATCATCTCTTATATTGTCTATCGCCTATATAGAAAAGGAAGTCCTGATTCTCTTTTCTTATTTGCTTGTTCTTAACTAGTAAATGGATTTGTAATCATTTGTCAAATTTAGATATGTTTGACAGGTTCCTATCCCTAATGCCCAGCATGGCATTACAAAGATACTGGCATTTATTTACACAGTAACCAAGTCGATTCTCTACTGCCCTGTGAGGATATGTATTCACCACAGCCTTGGGGTTTTGTCCTTTATGATCATACACCATTTCTCTTACACACTATTCTTCAAGCATTTTCTATTCAAACTACATTTCTTTATGCCCTATAAAAGCATTTACACCATTGTCTAAAATGTTCTTTATCCTAATATTACGTGCTTAAAATCTATCATTCAGGAACCAATTTATATATAACCTGTGTGTGTGTGTGTGTGTGTGTGTGTGTGTGTGTGTGTGTGTATAGGTTCTGAAAGCAAGATGTTTATACAGTGTGTGTGTGTGTGTGTGTGTGTAGGTTCTGGAAGCAAGATGTTTATACATTTACATATACAAATACTTATAACATTTTTATATAACTATAAATAAATGCACATATATAAACATATTTGTATATATGTTTATATATGTGCATATATTTATATATACATAACTTGCTGTTCAAAAAGTATTACATTTATGTTTATCAGCTTTTTCTTTTTCTTACTAGACTTTATATTTATTAGTGGGAAACCATATCCATTTCTTTTTTTTTAAGACAGAGTCTCGCTCTTGTCACCCACGCTGGAGTGCAGTGGCACGATCTCAGCTCACCACAACCTCCACCTCCCGGGTTCAAGCTATTCTCCTGCCTCAGGCTCCTGAGTGGCTGGGATTACAGGCACCCACCACCACGCCTGGCTAATTTTTGTACTTTTAGTAGAGACAGGTTTTCGCCATGTTGCCCAGGCTGTCCTCAAACTCCTGACCTCAGGCGATCTGCCTGCCTCAGCCCCCACAAAGTGCTGGGATTACAGGCATGAGCCACCACACCTGGTCATCATTTCTACTTTTCTATCTTCAACTATACTATTTATATTGTATTGTTAAAACAATTCTGAATACCATGAAAGAAAGGATATATGGATAAGCCTTCTTATTGTTCTGTTATCAACAGTCCACTCTCTGTCATTTATTTAATATCTGTTTACTACATATATATGTGTGTATACATATGATTACACATATATATTTGTTTCCTGTCCACTTTTTATTATATTTCCATCAAGAATGAATGTTGCTTTACTTCATTTATATGTGTTCAGAATGTGAATTACAGCAAATATTTTATATACAGCAGAAGGTAAAATAATACTATTTTTGGTGTATAACTTAAACAAAAATTTGTGAAGGTGTTCATTATATTTATCTATCCAAAGTTGTAAGGAACGTAAAGAATATTATCTAAAAATTAATTATTTTTTAACAAAAGCATACAGATTTTTATTAATTTTGAAGCTTAATGGATCTAGATTATTTACTTGTCCTTTATATTTTATGTGTACATAAATTTGCTACATCTACTGAAAATGTATTTGTAAAATAAAAAATAGCACCACATGTTGTTGGAGAGTCAATGCCTTGGCCAATAAAGAATGCTTTCCAGCCCGCTGTGGTGGCTCAAACCTTTAATCACAGCACTTTGGGAGGCCGAGGTGGGCAGATCACCTGAAGTCAGGAGTTCAAGACCAGCTTTGCCAACATGGTGAAACCACGTTATTTAGTGTCTACTAAATAACAGAAATTAGCCGGGTGTGGTGGTGAGTGCCTGTAATCCCAGCTACTCTGGAGGCTGAGGCAGGAGAATCGTTTGAACCTGGAAGGTGGAGATTGCAGTCAGCTGAGATCGAGATCGCACCACTGCACTCCAGCTTGGGTGGCAGAGCAATACTCTGTATCCAAACAAAACAACAACCACAAAAAAATACTTTCTTTACATAATAAAAAAATTTACTATTAATATAGTGATAAATAGACAAATCATAAGGGCAGATGTGAAGTAACATTATTAAAGTAAATTATTTGTGTTTTCTAAACTGTATTTTGGGGTTACAATTTGCATGTTACTTCACCTTTTCATTTTAAGTAAAGATAACCATCTCTATAGCTAACTCTCAACTGCATGCACCAATAATATAAAAGAAAGCAGTTACAGGCAACAATGTTCATTTCAAGAAATTCTATATAGTTTTGTGACACACATCTAAAAGTACAACATTTTATAAACAAACACCAAAACAGAACCAATGTCTGTCTTTACCCATTGATATCTCTTCAAATGTCAAGTCGCATTTGAAATATTCATGTAGTAGAGATTACTACATTTATGGCTTCCAGAGATGACTGTAAGTTTCATTTCTGCAAAGTAAAGCCTTTCTAATATGTGAGATTATTACATCTCATTAAGATTTATGTTAGTGAGATATTTCTTTTAATTCCATTTGGCTAGTATATGCAACTTTGTAATGAATATTCTTCATATAAATTGTTGTCTACATTTTGTATTGCAGATTATATCCAAAGAATATATACCTAGAAGTGAAATTATATTTTTAAAACTTGAAGCTCCTTTAAACATTCTCGATAAATTTTTCAAAATTTCTCTGGAGAAAAGATGCATTGATTCATACTTCTAACAATATCTGTAGAAGTATTAAGTTCTCTAAGAATAGTCATTTTTGATCATTAGTAATTATCAATTATTATTGTAGATTTGCTAAAAATTTGTCTCATAATATATTTGGAAAATTAAAAATTTTAGATGATATCATGACTATTTTTTATATTTACAGAACTTTTGCATATCTAGCTTTATAAATTAGATATTTCTATTTTTCAATTTTTCTAACAGAGTTTCTCATTTTACTTAACATCCCTTCAGGAGGAACAGAAAATATGCTGGTTTAAATAATTAAAATTATTTTTGCTATGATGGAATTTCAATATTTTGAATAAAATAACTTCCTGCCACCTCCCCAATCTAGTCTCTTGCACATTGCATGCTCTGAAAGAGATAACGAAACAAGTCAGCAAAGGCAACCTTTTATCTGTGCTTTATAGTTTGCAAATTACATATCATATAGCTTAATGCCTTTTGCCAGAAATACTTTCATACTCAGAGAGTTGCTGATGATGTTGATTTTGCTGCTATTTCTTGAGAGAAACGGCAAAGAAAGCCTTAACCTTAAGTACTTACAATAAGTTTTCTTATTCTTGAACAGACCTCAAACAAGGCACCTTTTCCTTTAGAGGCGCTTTTACGTTAAGTGATGAATACTTATCTTTTTTAGAAGAGTCCTCTCAAACTGACTTCCTCTCAGCATGAATTTGCTCAATCCTTTGTTGTTTGTTGGTATTACATAGTAGCCTTAGTTGACTTGATTTAAAACAGTTATCTTATTGTACTCTTATAGGTCCAGGTACGCTAAGAATTGCCCGATTACTTTGATACCCAGTTTGGTCTCTAACATTTCCTGAAAAAATAAAATGATTGACTAGTCTATAAATTATCATTAAGTAAAAAATAAAATGAAGATACATAAATTAGAACAACTAGGAAGACACATAACGTAACCCTGGTCTTTTCAGTTAAAAATTAAAACATACACTGGTTTTCTATTTGAACACAGCATCTCAACCCAACCAGTCCTACATTTAACCACTTAGTGGCATAAAAATTTTCCTCTTACCTGTTGTACAGTCTGTAAGCCAAGAATGCCTTTTATGTTTTAAGCCATTTCGGGGGAAAAAGAAGAATATGTGACATAGAGTGTATATGACCTGTAAAGCCGAGAACCTTTACTAATCTGACCTTTTATGGAAAAAGTTTTCAACCCTCTTATAGAGGTTCTGTGTGGCTTTTAATCTATTCATAATGGAATTGTAACTTCATGATTCAAGTCCCTTTTGCACCATATATGAACCTGTAATAAATAAAATATTAGCAAAGACATTTAAATAAACTTTCTTAAATTTAAATCATACACTAATATAGTCCTGAAACAATAACAAAACAATCTGAAGAGAGACTGTCTAAGCAAGGCAGTCAAAGTCTTAGCTTCTGCAGGTTGTAAGGAAACTACCATAAGTGAGCCTTTGGACTACAAGCAGACGAATGGTTTGATATCAAAGAAGAGCACAATGTGGCCAGGAGAAGTGGCTCATGCCTGTAAACCCATCACAGCATTTTGGGAGGTTGAGGTGGGTGGATCACCTGAGGTCAGGAGTTCGACACCAGCCCGGCCAACATGGTGAAACCCCATCTCTACTAAAAATACAAAAATTAGCCGGGCATGGTGGCAGTTGCCTGTAATCCCAGCTACTCGGAAGGTTGAGGCAGGAGAATCGTTTGAACCCCTGAGAAGGGGTTGCAGTGAGCTGAGATCAGGCCATTGCACTCCAGCCTGGGTGACAGGAGCAAAACTCAGTTTCAAAATAAAAAAGGACAATGTACCCTAGAATGCAGCTCAAAAAATATATCCTCTGTCTACTGCCTACAACTGTGGATGGGTAAATGTCCATAACTAGGTAGATGAGAGAAAATGGGCAGAAACTCATTGCAAAGAAGTGGGCTAGGGTGCCATCTTATTCAGTGCCTAAGAGTTAAATAGGAAATATCTTAATAATTTGCTGGGATAAAAAGGCAGAGCCAAAAATATAATGCCAACTTGTAATTTCATAGTCTTAGATAGAAAAACACTAGACAGAATGAATATAAAGGCAGAGATTAAAAATAAATAAATAAAAATTCTAATGAAGATGAATACAATGAAAAAATTCAACACATTTTAAAACAATGCATGCTAAAAGAGCACTTAAAAGAACACAAATGATTAAGTCTTAATGAAATAAAAATAAAGCATTCTAAAAGACTTTTAAATAAGTCCATTGAAGACCTTCAAACTCATAACACTGTGAATACTGAGAACAATTAAGGATTATGAACCAAAAGGAAGAAATGATATGATAAAATCAATTTTAAAAGAAGGAAAACAACTAAAATAATCTGGAATCAAAAATAAATATATAGAAAACTAAGCTTAATATACGAGATGCCATCTAATTTGAAAACAGAAGGGAGGTGAATTAATTTATTGAAAGATGGTTTTGAGAAATTATATCATAATGTTGTCCAAAGCAATAAAGATAAATATTTGAAGAAACTAGTAGTAACAGGCAAAACAGGCATGGAGAAGAAATGACAAAGTCACATGATAGGAAATTGAGATGAATCTATAAATAGATGGAATATTTGAAAGAAATGTTTTATGAAATGATGACTGAAAAATATTTCAGAACTGAATAAATATTTGACACCTAACAACTGAAGAAGGCATCAAATACAAAATATTGTAAATGCATGAGTTACTGAACCCATAAATTAAAAAAACAAGAAATCTATCAAACAATAAGACTCTCATTGAGTGATACAGATTAAGAGATCTATTGTAGACATTAGAATATACATCATATGGAAGCTAGTTAAGAAACGTATGCAATTCATGCTTTTGCATATAGTTTGGGCCTATTGCTATAGACCAGCTAGGACAGGGGTCAAGAAAAGAATCTGGAACTCAGTTGTGAAAAAGCAAGAAAAAAACTGGATAAACTATATCCTATGAAGGTAAGCCATATTCCATATCTGCCTTTTACTATCTCCAGCCATAATGATGCAGCTGACCATAGGAAAGTCTGGCATTCTTTCCCATGGAACTTCACATACATGAACATTTGACCCAAACCATGGGGAGATTCAGGAGCTACTCATGGCCTGGGTGCTGCTCAGGCCAAACAGGTGAACTGGCAGATATGTAACTACACAGAGCCTAGTGCCCTAACATAACTTTAATACAAAAAAATTGAAGGAAAAAGAAAAAAGAAAAGAAAAGATTCTTTCCTTACTGCTTTCCAAATCCCATGGAAATTTGTCTTGTAACTAATCTCACTTGTTACGACAAAGGTAAGGGGGTTCTGGAAAATGTAGTTCCAGCTTATCTGGGTTGACGTAGTAAAGCTTACTATCTTGTATACATAGAAAGTTAGTTAAACTGCAGGATGTCAGACATCTTAAGATTTTGCAGAGATATGTGATAAATAATCTAACAATGTATGAATATTATACTGGTAGCAAAGTCATCATTATAAACAAATGACGTCAGTAGGTAATGGAATTACATCTTCATGATGGTGAAAAATTATTCAACTGAAATCTCATACTCAATAAAGCTATAAGGAGTAAATCAATCATAAAATAAAAGTGTTTCTAGGTACTAAAATCCAAAGAGTTTACCACTTATGTACTTTTTCTGAAAGAATGAATCACCACGTATATTTAATGTGCATAATTTGATGAATTTGGAAATATGCAAATACTGATTATACCATTACCACAATCAAGGTAATAGACATATCCAACACCTCCAAAACTTTCCTTGTGTCTCACTGTTTTGTTTTTGTTTATTTGTTTGTTTTTAATGTGTGGTAAGAGTACTTAAAGTGAGACTTATCTTCTAATACATTTTGGAATGTACAATTCAGTGTTGTTTACTACAGACACTATGTTGTGGAGAAGATCTCTAGAACATCTTCATCTAGCATCACTGAAACTTTAAGATGAAAGGAACTTGAAACAGTCCAGAATGGGGAGTTAGTATAGAAAAAAGCAAATGCAGCTTGGAAATATATAACTGCAGCCAGTTGTGGTGGCTCACGCCTGTAATCCCATCACCTTGGGAGGCCGAGGCAGGCGGATCATGAGGTCAGGAGTTTGAGACCAGCCTGGCCAACACAGTGAAACCCCGTCTCTACTAAAAATACAAAAAATTAGCTGGGTGTGGTGGCAGGCGCCTGTAACCCCAGCTAATTGGGAGGCTGAGGCAGGAGGATAGCTTGAGCATGGGAGGTGGAGATTGCAGTAAGCCGAGATCTTGCCACTGCACTCCAGCCTGGGCAACAGTGCAAGACTCCATCTCAAAAAAAAAAAAAAAAGAAATATATAATTGCTATTGTATCAGCCTGATAGAGGCAGGAGAGGTACTGACCTAGGACACAGGCAACATATTAGTTTCGGGTTTGAATTTCTGTTCTAAAATATATATATATATATATATATATATATATATATATATATATATATATGACACTTATTAAAAAATAGTACAAGTAGACATATGTTGGAATAGAAGAGTAATTAATAACCTTGCTCTTAATTCACTTTATACGTATGTTTTTATTTATATTATCCAACAAAATTTAGCCATGTTTGTCTCTTTTAAGCACAATTTTTGCAATAAATATACAAAAGTCAGTAGAAAATTCTCTGTATAATTTGACAAATACAGTTGTTTATAAAATTTTCTGGAACATATTTTGATAAGCTGTCTGTTAAATGTGTGAAGGAAGTATTAAAGGAGGACAAGGTAAGGTATAATCAACTATATTCTAATAAACAATCTTGCATAGCAATTAAAAATTGCTGTTGGGGGTCAGAGAAGAGCTGATAATAGGAATTGTTGCATTAGAAATGAGGCTTGAAGAATGGTTGTTTTTATTTCCGATAAAGAGCAATGGAGAAGGTCTGGTAGCTTTGCAGCATGTCATCTGGGAAACTATTGTAAACCCAAACGTATCTGAGAAAAGTCTCAATCAATATAGACATTTATTTTTTAAAGACATGCCGGTGACACAGCCTCAGGAGGTCCTGAGAACATGTGCCCAAGTTGGTTGGGTTATAGCTTGATTTTATGCATTTTAGGAGGACAGAAGTTATACACAGACATCAATCAATACATGTAAGCTGTACAATGGTTTGGTTCAGGAAGTGGAGGATTGGTGGCAGGGGCTTCCAGGTAATAGGTGGATTCAAAGATTTTCTGATTGGCAATTGTCGAAAGAGTTAAGTTATTATCTAAAGACCTGGAATCAATAGAAATAAATGTCTGGTTTAAGATAAAAAGTTGTGGAGACCAAGGCTCTTGTTATGCAGATGAAGCTTCCATGTAGCAAGTTTCAGAGAAAATAGATGGTAAGTGTTTCCTATCTGACTTAAAAATGTGCAAGACTCTTGTTAGCCTCTCCTGAATCAGAAAAAGACCTGGAAATAGGAAGGGGATTCTCTACTGAATGTAGATTTCCACCGCAAGAGACAGCGTTGCAGGGGCATTTAAAAATACATCAAAGAAGTTAGTTTCAGGATAAAATAGTTCAATTTATTTCAGAGTCTGAGATCTGTCATTTTGTGACATATTTTATTGCTATTATGTTGGTGCAAAAGTAATTGCGGTTTTTGCAATCATTTTCAGTGGCAAAAACCGAAATTACTTTTGCACCAACCTATTGCCCTAAGAGTCAGTTTGGTCAGTCTTAGAATCTCTGTTTTAATGTTGATGACTGTCATATTTGCCTGAATTCCAAAGGAAGGACAGTATAATGAGACATGTTCAACCCCCACTTCCTATCATGGCCTGAACTAGTGTTTCAGCTTTAGTTTGGAATGCCCTTGGCCTGGGGGCCGGGGGTCCAATCAATCAGTTGGGGTCTTAGAATTTTATTTTTGGTTTACACTATATTTAATAGAATTCCTTTCTTTGCCTCTTTTAGGCTAGCCAACAATACAAAACAATTTCTGTAATCTCTTGGTAGGGTATGTATTTTTCTCTGCTGTGAAGGACCTGGTTTCTCCAGGACATCCACACCACCCAGGTATAGCCCACGTGTAGGCAAGAGTCCATCCTTATGGGTTCTGGCTCATGCTGATGGGTCCCAGCTTCACTTTGTTGTCTCCTTTACATCTTATCTCTGCTTACTAACAGCCTCTCCTGTGGACTCTGTCAAAGCAAAAATTACACTGGACAGATAAACAGGAAAGGAAGACTTCATTCAAGGCAACAACTGGAGGAAACAGGAGATTGTGGGCCATCTGTGCTTGTTAACAGGCTTTATCCAATGGAAAAGTAAACTTTCTTCTCTTTTCAGTACAGGAGGTAATATTACAACCTGGGACAAGGCACAGAGCAAAGGTAGGTTTCTACCCTCCCACAGAACCTGGGCGACAGGGGCACTATTTTCCTTGATAATTAACTTTCAAAGAGATGGTTCACAGATTCCTGTGAAAGACCTCACTGGTTTGTAAGTCTAGAAAGAGGCTCTTTAACAATTTACACTTTGGCTAGGCATGGTGGCTCATGCCCGTAATCCTAGCACTTTGGGAGGCCGAGGTAGGCAGATCACCTGAGGTCAGGAGTTTGAGATCAGCCTGGCCAACACGGTGAAACTGTGTCTCTACTAAAAATACAAAAATTAGCCTGGCGTGGTGGCAGGCACCTGCAATCCCAGCTATTCAGGAGGCCGAGGCAGGCAATTGCTTGAACCCGGGAGGCGGAGGTTGCAGTGACCTGAGATCGCACCATTGCACTGCAGCCTGGGTGACAGAGGGAGACTCAGTCTCAAAAAAAAAAAAAAAAAAAAAAAAAAAACAAATTACACTTTAAGAGGCAGAGAAAGTATTCAGGACTACAATTTTGCTAAAGTAAATGTTCAAAAAAGGGGGGACAGGGTATTGTTACTACGAATAAATAAAAAGGAAATGGTAACTGAGGTGATGGATGTGTTAATTGATTATGGTAATTATCTCACAATGTTTCCTATATCCAAACATTTAGTACTTCTTAAATATACTTAATTCGTATTTGTCAATTATACCTCAATAAAGGGGGAAAAAGAAAGTTTGGGGCCTAGAGTCAGTAAGAAGCCTGTCTAAAGATTAGTCAAACTGAAGAAAACATTAAAACCCTCTTGGTCAACTTCATGGGGCAGAATCAGAGGCAAAGACACCAGTCATAGAGTGACTACTTATCAAGCCTAAACAATCCCCACAACTGTGAACCTTGAATCCCTGTAGAAAATCCAGATACGCATGTGTCTATTTCCTAGTGATTGTGTTTATCTAATGGAACCCTAACTGAAAAAAAAAGATATCAGTGTAAGTGTAAATTATATGAAATGACATAGGTAGATAAGCACACGATACGTTGTATGAATATATAAAGAAGCATTTCAGTTGGAACTTCTACCTGCTTGTTACCTCTAAAACAGAAATGAAGTGTTGTTGTGGAAGATAGAGTGATATTGAATGCTTGAGTTTGTGTTTGAGGCAGCTGATTTAAATAGGGTATCACGCTTCTCCAAGCAGGGTCTAACTTCCAGGCATACGTCCAGTAAATCAGGTCATAAGATAAAGTACTAGGGTACGAAAAGGCACAATCAATGGACAGGGATTCTTGAAGTGAGCGGGAATAAAAACACATTACTGAGCCTAACGTGGTAGAAAAAGTTGCAGAGAATTTGAAAGAAGCTCAAGGAAGGTAAGGAGTCTAGCAAAAAAAGAAAAAAAAGAAAAAGGCTCACCTTTAAAGACAACTATACTGATGGCTAAAGAAAGTGAACAGAAGTGTAAAACACAGTTTTTCACAAAAATTTCAAACCACACATATTATCAAAAAAATCTGTCTTATTCTGGGTTTTAGTGTTAGTAATGAAATTAAATCTTCTTATTAATTCATATTAATAAAAGTGTTCAGCAGCCACTGCTTTGCACTATTTGTTAAATTATTTAAAAATAGTTTAGAAAATTGAGGTTCTGTTTATTCAGATCCTTTTATGCTAACCTTTTGTACAAATACTGGGGAAACTGATAAACAAAACAATTGAGTGGAATTTTGGAGAGCAAAAATTGCCATGGAGAGGTTTTCATTGTTCCAAGTTGTGTGTTGTGGGGGCCTAGACTTTAGTGTATCCAGAAATTCTTTTGATCTCAGAGTTAGCAAACACTTGGGGTGGTTCAGCTTTTAAGAAATTATTTTAAAATCAGGTTTATTGATGTATAACTTATATACAGTAAAATTCATTTTTAAATCGAGAGTTTCTTGAACCCTTTAAAATCTGCAATTTCCTAGGTGCAAATTTAATCAAGATGTATAATATTTCCATCACCCTAATAGTCCTCTCATATCCCTTTATAGTTAATTCTTTTCTCCAGCTCTCAGTCTCTAGAAACCATTGATCTGCCTTCTGTTTCTATACATTTCTCCTTGTTTGCTTTGCTACATCATTTAAAAAAATTAAGATGTTATTTACATAAAATAAAACTTACTTTTTTAAGTGTACAATTAGATGAATCTGGGTTTAGTTTTTTTATGTCTGTGGACTGTGATTGAGGTTTTAAGCCACACATAGGCTATTTTGACTTTGAAGGGCTGCAGTTAATGGTGGCTCTGTCCATAAAATAATAACTTTTTCTTCAGCAATATCTTAGTTCATTTGGACTGCCATAACACAATACCTTAAACTGCCAACTTATAAACAACAGAAATTTATTGTTCACAGTTTTGGAGGCTACGAAGTCCAAGATCAAGGCACCAGTGGATTTGGTGTCTACTATGGGCTGCTCTCTGCTTCAGAGATGGCCTGCCTTTTCATGTTGTCTTCTCACGTGGTAGAAAAAAAAGGATAGGTTCTTTCAAGTTCTTTTATAAAGGCACTAATCCCACTCATGAGGGCTCTGCCCTCATGACTTAATCACCTCCCAAAAGCCTCAACTCTCAATAAAACCACAATGGGAATTAGGCTTCAAAATGAATTTTAGAAAAATACATTCAAAGTATAGCAAGAGGGTAAGGATCTAAGACAAGACATAGGCAGCCTGGACCTCTGCAAAGGCCACAAGAGAGCACATAAGCAGCAACACAAGAACATAAGCAACCTCAACTGACAGTAGCAAGCCGTTGAGATTATAATTGTCAGGCTAATTTATGGAAGGAATTAGATCTCAGGGTCCATATTGGTGGCCTCACTCATTTCTGGTTCGTAATAGATATGGTCAAGCAAAGTCATGGATCTGGAGAAGTTGCTGGGTTTTTTGGTTTTGTGTTGTTTTCTTTTGTTTGGTTTTTTATAGTTGTGACCAGCTTCAAAATGTAGGTTGCTGCAGCTCAGCAAGAAAGCATAACTTTTCTGAAGCATGCATGTCATAGACAGGCTTGTAACTCTAAAGGAAAGAGAGCCTTATGTGCATTAGAAGCGGGGTCAGGAGGCTGAAAAATATTAACTGCTTTTCAAGTGCAAGTTGGCAGAATTCTGCATGTAATCATGTACGTTGCTGAAGTTCCAGCTGTTAATCTTAGTGTTAGGCTAGCTAAGAAGATCTAGTCATGAGCTGTGTTCCCCATTCAGGGACTCTCCATGCAGGAAAATAAAGGCACTGACTGACCTTGAGTCCTCTGGTGGTTTCGACATGTGCTGAAATGTCATCTCTCATGGTCTGAAGGTAACTGTTGAATGGTTAGCTGTAAATGGCAGAGGGGATTTTCCCAGGAGACAGGTTTCTTAGTCCTGAAGAATTTGGTTGCTGCACAGGACTAAATCCTACTCAAAAATAGAAGGGATGATATGTCACTTTATAGAATTCACAATCAGTTCAGCACTGGCATGTTAAAAATAGGGCTGAAAGAGGAATGGCAATTATTAAGGATAGATGAAATGATTTCCAGAGGTAGTGTGTATGTACGTATCATACAAATGTTATTTTTTTCCTAGGAATTTCTCCTAACTGAATTTAAAATCCACAGAACGTGAATATAAGACAATGTGTTTCCATAGACTTCTAACTTCATAAACCAAAACCAAGATTTTCTTGTTTTTCCCTTATCCCCTGAGATTCAGGTTATTTTATTCTGAAGCCTAAGGCAATATAAAGTGCTACCTTCTGGCAACATAATTATGACTGTGATCATTGGATTAGGTACTATACATTCAGTGGCTTGCTAGATGTGAAGGGTAGTAATGCTCATTTTGTGACCGACTGATTTTTTTGGTGCATTAAAAGTGAGGTACATCAGAAACTGACATAGAAAGAAAATACTTTCTGAGGCCCTGACGGAAATATTCATAATTCTGTGAAAGCCCCATGCACTGATGTTGAAGAAGCCAAATTTTGTCCATGTATTGGAGAACTCCTAGACCTGAAATCCAGCAAAACATGAAGGTGGGAAGGATGGATTGTAGATTTTCCCTTTTTTGGAATGGTGACTCACATGTGCAAAAGAAATTAATTTTGGACTTTTATCTGTTTTGGGATTTAACTTTAAAAAGGATTTAACATTTAGAATTTAATTTCTTCGTGGCATGTGATATTAGGGCAGGATATATACTTAAATAAAGCATGTTGACTTACTGGCATTTTTATCATTTGGATTAGCTGTTTCTTACTCATTGGATCATATGGTTTTTAGAGTATCATGCTGTTTTTATTACCATAGAACCTTTGCTGTGCCTTCTTGGAAAATACGGCTGGAGGTAGTCTGGAAAGAAAAGTAAATAGCAAGTGAATTTTCAGCTTTGGAAAGACAGTGGTTTGGAATTCCTTTGATCACTGTACTGTTCTTGCAGGTTTCACAGACTTTTAGGTACAGATACCTATGCTTTTCCACATTGTCCCACGAAGGTGTACAGAAGTACAGTGGCTGAGTGTAGGACAAAGATTCTCACAAATATCGACCCAGATCTACCCTGCTACTGGTAAACTCCATTCCTAAGCAGATTAACCACAGGCCTATTCAACGATAAGGTTAATTCAGAAGCTCAGTGGTCTAAGTGAATTAGGAGCGGGGAATGCTAATTGATCAACATCTTTTCTCTACTCCCCGTTTCATAAGGAGGAGTGCTGTTTTCTAAATACACAACTCTCCTCTCTCAGACAATGTATTCACTCCAAATAGAGGGAGTAGGAGTGATAGTGATTGACATCTTTGAGAATACCACACTCAGCTCCTTTTCCCACTCCTTTTGATATAGGGAGAAAGAAGTTGGGATAATTCTGACTTGAGAGAAAGCATTTTCCCATTACTCATTCACTAAGCACATTCTTTGCTGTGTAGAGTGCCCCATTTTGGAGGTGAATATTATAAAATGAACTTGCCCACATATAAAAGTCGTAAACACCATCTTAGAGATAATTGGTGACTCTTGTGAAATATACTTTATTTCTTAGTCCTTTGTTCTATTTTCACAAGAAGGAAGACAGCACTATTTACTGAGCCCTTTTGTAGAGCTGAACAAGAATCAGTCTGCTCTAACTTGTAACATAAATATTACTCCCATCTTTATGGAAAAAAAATTACAAGGGGGAGGAAGAAAACCATGACAGTGAGAAAATAAATGTATGACATTTTAAAACTTTACCTCAAGAAAGAAATATCTTTGCCTAAAATAGGTATTTTTATACTAGAATACTGAAACTTATTTGCAATGAGATATTAAAGAAAGCCATTTTCCATTTCTCAGTTTTGCTAAATGCTATGAGCAATAAGCAAGAAAAAATACTAAACACTTTGAAAATGGGAAGTATTATACATGCCTGATTTTAATAAAGCCTAAAAATGGATTCCCAAGGAAAAGCTTCTATAAAGTTAAGGAAAGTACTTACAAAGATAAATAGGATACTTTAGGACAACCAGAGAATAAGGTATAATTGGAAAGACTATAAAACGTCAACATAATGAATCGCTCTGACATTAGATATTCTGTGAACAACTATACTTTTTTATGCATGTTGTGGGTTGCTAAATGAAAAAAAGGCCAACGCTGAACAAATGAAAAGGCAAAATGAAGAAACAAGGGCCTAGAGAATTAAACAAATGAGTAAGAAACCAAACAGCTTTGGAGTCAAATGAACAAACAAATGAAAACTACTGAATAACTTGTAAACTCATCAATGTTAATGAGCTCTTTAGGAAGAGCATAAAACCATTTCTATGAGATTCAAACATTTAGTCTGCACATGTCTGATTCAAAGTTTAAAAAATGTACATAAGCAAAAAATTTTCAGAGCATTTAAGGATGCAAAGAAAAAGTGTATGGAGTCAATAAGATTAAGATTAGAAAAAACAAATCAGAAGTAAATTAATTCAATAATTAATTTTGGGTTTTATATCCCTTACATGCAAAAAAGAATAAGAATATAAAAAATAAAATTTGAATTTAAGTAATGACCAATCATTTTAGAACATGATTCAAATTCATAAGGTTTGTATTCATTCTTAATGCCAAAATTAATTCACTCCTAGAAATTGTGTGTAGGAATTTAATTTGAATGTAACAAAAATTTGTAAGCAATACTTCCACCACACTACTAAAAAACAAAAATGAAACTTTAGAAATCAACATGAATGTACAATTGAGAAAAAAGTTACAAATTTTAAACTCAGATATGAATTAGTGAAATAGTAAATACAGTTTTGTTAATATTTTGCCCATCTTTACAAACCAAATCTAGGAAAAAAAAAGTTTTTAGATTGAAATATGATTATATGGATTCATGGTTAGTAATATGGTATCAAATTTCTAAGAAAATAAGATAACAACACATGAATGTTGGGTAGATACCTTACTTCTCCCTGACCCAATTTGAAGATTTCTATTTTTATGCTTTAAAGAGAAAAATAAAATTTTACCTTATCCAATTTAGTATTTAAGGAATCTATCCACACCTATTAATATAATACCACCATAGAAAGAGCATGTTTATGATGTACCAATAAAAATTTGAGGACTTCTTAGGCTATACATTATATGATGTGAAAATTTGATATATAGGAAAAAACTTAATTTGCTGTCCCAAATTAATCACAGTCAATTTTTAGAGGAATTCATAGTTAAGTACTATTTTTTTCTACTTCAGTTTTCATTAGGTATTCACGGTCACTTTTATTCTTATGAGATAACATAGATGGCTGCTTTCATTTTTAATGGGAGGCCTAGGCATAACACTAGGATAGTCACAAAGTCTCAGGGTTAAGCATGATATTAACACATCATTTGCTAAATCCTACCCTGTTCTAGTATAATGCGGAAAAGCCTTCCAATATCAATTATTCAAGGAGACCTATAGGATTCAACAACTTCTCAAAGTATTATGTACCATTCTGTTTTTCAAAATTTTGGGTAACCATTTCAAGAAAAAAACAAAAATTGTGAAAATATTGCACTTAGAACCGGTACTTATCCAGTGCAGAATTAGTCATTTATTTCACAAACATAGAATAATCTAATAGTTAATTTTAGGTATCAGTTTGACTGGATTACGGGATACCTAGGGAGCCGGCTAAGCATTAAATCTGAGTGTGTCTGTGAGGGTGTTTTTGGAGGCAATTGGTGTGAGTTGGTAGACTGAGTGAGAAAGAACTCCCTTCAATGTGGGCAGGCACCATTCAATTTGCTGGGAGCCTGACAGAATAAAAAAGGGAGAGAAAAGTGGAATTTGTTCTCTCTCTCCTGGAGCTGGACCACCCTTTTTTCTGGCCGTGGACACCAGAACTCAAGATTTTATACCTTAGGACTCTGGGACCTGCACCAACCACCTTCTCTCTCAACACCTTCTGCCCCCCACCAGCCTGCACCCACAACACGCACACACCCCAATAGGTTTTTGGGCCTTTGGCCTCAGACTGAGTGTTACCCAATCAGTTTTGCTGGTTCTGAGACCTTTAAAATTGGACTGAGCCATGCAAAATGCTTCCTTGGTTCTCTAGCTTGCAAATGGCCCATCATGCTACTTCTCAGCCTCCACTATTGCATGAGCCACATACCCTAATAAATTCCCTTTCATCTACCTTTTACTGTCTATCTATCTATCTATCTATCTATCTATCTATCTATCTAACCATCTATCCATCTATCCATCTATCCATCCATCCATCTATCTCTTATGTGTTCTGTCTCTCTGGAGAATCCTGAATAATATATATGATAACACTCTCTGGTAATACTTAATGTGATTTTTTTCCTATTATTTGATTCTAAAAAGGTTCATTTTAAAATTATGTATTTGTTGTTCTAGTGAATAAATCAAGTACATTTATGTTTAAAAAAATTTTAGTTAAAAACTATTTTGTGTGAATTACGTGCTAGAATATTAGGCTAAGATTATGGAATAACATGAATATTAATAAGGAAATATTCAATGACAAATAATTTTACAATAAAAATGTTAAAACCACTGATACATCTAATTGATTTGCAAGATAGTTTGCAGAAATTTTACAATATAAACAGGTACTGTAGAGAATTAATTAGGAGAAAAATGAATGTATATAGCCATTTATCATATGTGAATCAAAGCAAGCAGAAAAAGACTGATGTTTTTTAACAATTGAAGAAAAGAAAGGAGAAGAAAGGTTACATAAAAGAGAATAAGTGATTTGGAAGAAACATGTCTCAATATAACAGCAAATGTAATTAGAAAATTAATCAAGTTTATTGATAGAGGTCAGATCCTAAGATAGAATTTTAATATTAATATATTCTGTGTAAGAGACATAACTAAAAACTAAGATAAAGAAATGCTGAAATGAAAGAAAGAAAACCTACAAAGGACAACTATAAAACAAAAGCATCCCAATGGTAGCATTTTCTGTTAGTCAAACTCAAATGTAAGGTGAAAAACAGTATAAGCCATAGAGAGCTAATATAAATGCTTAAATGAAACTAAAAACTGTGGTAATAGCGTAATGGTACATACAAAACTAAACAATAGAAACTTAAATATTTATAACAACTGACAGAACATGTAACTTATAAAACAAGGGAATATAGGTAAAAGGATAAATATAGTTGGAGATTTACCACACCTATTTCAAAATCCAATAAAATAAGCTTTTTAATGCATGAGTGATTGAATTTGAATTTTACAAGGAAAAATTTTACACAGAAGAAAAATAATTTCCTGAGACCTAATGTAATTTTCTGAAGTGACATGTGAAAAAGACCACACATCAGGCCTCAGTAAATTTCAATGTTATAGTGCCATTTTTATTATTTTCTGACAACATAATGAAACATTAAAAATCAACAAGAGAAGATGTAAAAATGAATATGACTGTAAAATAAAAAGTTATTAAATAAGAATTGAGTTAAAACTTATTAACAAAAGCATAAAACAATGCTGTATTCATTAAAAACACAGTATTTCAAAATTTCTGAGACAAGCAATAGCAATATTTCAAAGCAAAATAAAGTTTTCTTTATTTTATTTTTACTGTAATGTGTATTTAATGACCCAATTAACTTTCAAGCTTGCAGAGACCACTGCACAACTTTGGTTTATAATACAAAGTGATAAATTTAATATGTCCAATGATATCGGATTTGTAGCATAAATAAAGTCATAAAATCATCTCTAAAAAGAGTTGAACATTGCCAGTTTTGCTCCTTTTAAATGAATCACTTGCTTTTCCTTGTTAAAAAATGTGTTATCAAAGTTATGAAAATAACTGAAATTATTTTTAAAAAGCAATATTAAAATAAAAAAGATGCTCAACTTCCTGAAATGGTAGTCAAATCATAAATCTAATTCTACATGTTTATAAAATCCTCTGACATTATCTCTTAAAACATCCTTTAAAATTAAAGCATTAAGTGCAGCTTTTAAAGTTTTGACTCATTTGAATTATGAACTTTAGCAGAGGTCTTTGAATTATAAAATTTTGAATATGCTGTTGTATGCAGTAAATAGTATTAAATTTCGATTGACTTTTTTGTTGATGAAAATAAGATATTTCAGACAAAAATTAAGTTACTAATTTTCTTGTCCAATATTTTTCTAAACAGTCAGATAACTTTGTAAATCTTTTATTTTAGTTAAAATTTCTATACATTGAAATGCACATATGTTAAATGTAAAATTCAATGAGTTTAGGTAAGTATAATAAAACCTAATTAAAATATACAAAATTTTCTTCAAACCAGGTGGTTCCCTTATATGACTTTTCACTAGATTCTCACCACCATAAGCAATCTTTGGTCTGATTTTTTTTACATCATGATATAATTTTTTATCTTCTTCATCTTCAAAAAACTGCAATCATAGAGTGTACATTATTTTCTTACTTTTTTCACCTAATTTAGTTACATGCACCATAATGCACTTTATTTTATTGCTGAATAGTATTCTGTTGTACACTTAAATCATAATTTATTTTACCAACTTGATTTTAATAAATATTTGATGTATTTTAGAGTTTTGTCTATTAAGAGTAAAACTAATGTAAATAATTGTGTTTCTGGTGTTTTCACTCAGTATAATTTGTATTTCCATTTTTCTTTTGCTGGGCATGTAATTTGTTTCCCATTTTTGATTACAGGAATAACTCTACAAGAATCATTCCTGTATAAGTTGTTTTGTTGACTCGTTTTTAATTCTGGGCTAAGTACCTTGAAATGGAATTACTGGAATACAGAATAGATTTATCTATAATATGATATATTTTTTAAAACCTGCCAAACTATTTTCGGAAGTGTTTCTACTATTTTATATTCCTAACAAAATAATAAAAAGTTTTAGTTGTTCTTCAGCATTTCCAACTTATTTTGTCTGTATTTTTTATTTTAGCAACTTAGTAGGGAAGTTTGTGGTTCATCTCATTGTAAGTTCATTTCCTTCATGACTAATTATGCTGTGTGCATTTAATTTGCTTATTGACCATTTTTTAATCTTCCTTTTTCAAGTGTCCATGACCACATTTTAGTCGTATTTTTAATTATTGATTTCTTAGAGTTGATTGTAAATTTTATATCATAGTCCTTGCTTGGATGCATATATTGTGAGTATTTGCTCTGACTTCATGGCTGATTCTTTATTTTGCTAATGGTGTCTTTGGATGTCAGGAATTTTAATATTAATTAAGTCAATTTAGCAAATTTTCTTGATAGTTAACGATTTAGGTGATCTCATTAAAAATCCTTCTTTACCATGAAGATATTATTTGATGAGTTTATGAATTTTCATATTTCAGCATTTAGGGTGAGGTACATGATTCATTTTTAAATGTGTTAAGAGTCCAGCATTTGATAGGATTCAAGGTTTATTTATTTTCTCTACCATCTAACCAAAACTGAACTTCCTTGGAACCTTTGTAGAAAATAAACATAGAATACCTCTGGTTTCTCTCTTCTGTTTCATTGATCTATTCGATTTTCTTACACAAATGCCACACTCTTCTGGTTATTTTAACATTGTAGTAATTATTGGAATAAAGTTTATTCATCATTTTTAAGATTATTCAGCTATTCTAGAGCCTTTAGGTTTTCATGAAAATAATTTAATAAAGTTGTTCATGTTTTCCAAAAAGAATGTTACATTCTTACTGGGAATGCATTAAATCTATATATAGATCAATGTGTGGACAATTGAATCTATAAATATAAAATATTCCAATTCATTAGCTCATTCTGTCTCTGTATTTATTTATGGCTTCTTAAGTATCTCCTTTCAGTAACTTAAAGTGTCTTGGTAATGTTTTGCATGTGTTTTGCTTAATATATTCTTAAGCATTTTATAGTTTTCGATGATTTTAAAAGTAATGTTTGTCTGAAATTAATTTTTAAGTTTTGCTTCTAGTGTCTGAAATGTAATTTTAAAAGACATTGACCTTGTATCCTACAAATTTGCTAATGTCACTTATGGATACTGGTAGTTTTTGCAGATTCCATAGGGATTCCTGTGTAAATAATCACCTGATCTGCCAGAAGGTCAGTTATGCATATTTCTTTCTGATGGTTTCAACTGATTTGTTCTTGCCTGATGGAAATAGCTAAGACCCCCAGAGTAATAATCTATGGAACCAGTGATAGTGGACATCCTTGCCTCATTTCTTACTTTAGTACTAAAAAGCTCAATATTTGCACAATAAGTACGATGATAATTGTAGGTGTCATATAGATAACTTTATTCAGATTAAGAAATATGTTTTTAGTTTGCTCAGTTTTGTCAATAATATTGTTGAATTTTGTTAAATAACTTTTCTGTACCTACTGTGGTAATATAAAATGTGTTAATGTGGACATATACTTGGTTATTTTTACAGTAAACTGACTTTGCATTAATTGGTTAGAATATAGTTGGTCATGATATTTTATCAACTTGTTATTTTACTATATATGATTTGCTAATATTTAAGGTGTTTTCTATTTTTATGAGACACCAAATTTCCTTCCTTCCTTTCTTTTCTTTTCTTTTCTTTTCTTTTCTTTCTTTCTTTCTTTCTTTCTATCTTTCTTTCTTTCTTTCTTTCTTTCTAATATAACTCTCAGAATTAGTACTAGGGCTGTATTAGCCCCACAAAAAAATCAAAGGATATTCTATTTTTGCTATTTTCTAAACAGTTTGAATGAGATTACTCCTAATTTTTTCCTAAATGTATGATAAAATCCACGAATGAAGCCAATCTGGGCTGAAGTTGTGGGTTATTTTGTCATCACAGATTTAAATTACTATTAAACAGAGGATCATAGGTTTCTGCATTCCTCTTGGATCAATTTTATTAGATTCAATCTTTCAAAAAATTATCCCTTTATTGAATTTGTCAAATTTGTGTCACATATTTTATTATTATATTCCTTTTTTACTTTGCAATGACTCTAGCATCTATATCTCCCTTTTAGTTCTTAATATTGGAAATTTCCATTCTGACTCCATGTACTGAGCCTTAGAATTATCAGTTCTATTAAACTTTTCAAAGAATAAATTTCTGTCTTGGTTAATTTTCTTTATTTTAATTATATTTTATTTATATCCACTCATATATATTTCTTGCTTAATTCTACTTACTTGGGTTAAATTTTTATGTCTTTCCTAATTTTTTAAAGTGAAGACTTAAGACACTGATTTTTAAACCTTTCTTCTTTTCTAATTTCTTCTAATTTGTCCAATATTTTAGTGCCTATTGGAGGAAGACAAAGTCAAGTAAGAGTTCATTTGTCATTGTCAGCTGTGCAATAATTTTTATCTCCCTTTTAAAAATGTTTAAATCTAGTATACAATACTTTTGCAGCTATAACATATTATTTATCAAATGGCAAAAATTCTACTAAATATTGGAATAACTAGTTTCATTGTAAAATATTTCAATAATCCAAATATTTGATTTCAATATATTTACTTATAAAACTGTGATATTATTCTATTAACTTAGAATTTTCACTTGTAGATTGAGCCAAATATTAATTCAATAAGAAAAAGATTCATTTTAATGTTCTTTTTTTATGAGACATTTAGTGATATATTTGCTGGTTAAGTACTCTAAGCTGAGGGATGTTCCAAATTAAAAGTGCAAATCAGAAGTCATAATGTTTATAATTCTTTATGCTGGTAAAAATTTTGTTGCTAGGTGGATAAATCTGCCCACCAGCTAAAGCTGTATTAGTAATAAAACCATGTCATAATTATAGAGTATCAAATAAGAATAACATTTCCCAGCTAGAATCTTGAAATATTTAAATGACTGTTTAAAGTAATCTAGATTTCTCTAAGGAAAGGACATTTTAAGTGGAACACAAAATATGACTAATCTGGACATACTCAACACTAATTAAGAACATTTATCACTGGTAACCTGATTCCTTTTCTTATAATTGCCATTGCATAAAAATGTCTGATCAACATAAATGTTTGATTAGTAAAACATTTTATTACTTATAATAATGCATATCATAATTGGCTCTGTATGCAGAAGATGGTATTTTTAGTGAGTACTGTAGTTATACAGTGAAATGTTAATTAAAACGGAAGTAGTAAACTGTTTGTTCCAAGTCCAATTACTTAATTATGGAATTAAACCAATATAAAGCTAAATAATTTGCCACTTCTACTCTCACTGGTATTATAAAATGATATCCGAATGATTTCCAAATTGATTAGCATGACTCTAACTGTCATGAACTGCAGGTTGCCAGGATATTGAATTCTCGAAACAGCTCATAACTGTTTTTTTTTTAATTCCCCTGATGGCTGTCAGTGTAGCAGTGCAACTTAGCAATATAAGAAAGCATATATTTTGGAAACATTAGAATGAAAAAATGTTATTGTCTTTCGTTCTTTAAAAATTGCTATTGTAATGGTACAAATTTTGGAGATGTATTTACTTTGGTTTGTTTTAGAATTGACCTTATCGGTTCATAAAGATTACACTATAGAGCGTACTTTTAAACAATGCTTTGAAAGGCAAATGCTTTGAAAATTGGTTAAGAAAAATTCCAGTTCAGAATTTACCACTTTCAAACACTACATTGAAAAGTGCTTATAAAAGTTGATATTTAAAACAAACATATCTTTTTCTACCCAAAGTAATGTGATTTTTTTCTGATGAATTACTACTAGGTTGGAAAAAAATTAAATGATATGCATTTCAATAGTAAAATAATTATATGGTTGACTATGTTCAGAAATTAGATCCATTCAATTACATAAATTTTTATGCTTCCCTAATGCATAATTCATAACTTTTAAGCTTGTAATTCATAATTTTTCAGCTTGTCTAATGCAATGAAACAAAAATAAAATTTAAATAGTTAATCTAAAAATGCTTGTCTTATATCTCTGTTTACCTCTCAATGTAATATTAGACTATCTTTCAATAGAGACTATTTTACACAAATTTTCATTAGAATAGATAAAATAGACTGTTAAAGACTTTAGAATTGGGGTGGAATAAATAATTTTTTCTCTTGATGTTGTCATAATGTCAAGCTTTGGAATAATAGAATGGTTCCGTTGCTGCTGTCTATTACTTTGCATGCACTGAGGATAGAATAGCCCTCCTCAATGTGGGGTGGTTATGATACCCTTTCCCAAAGAACTGTAAACTCTTAGAAGAGCAGGAGTTGTTGCAGTATCCAACCTTCAAGATGGCCTCCAATGATACCCATTTCCACATATTTATAACTGTGTACTTTTCTTCTGTTACCAAGGTTGATACGTGTTACACATAGAATATGGTAAAAGTGATGGTATGCCACTTTTGAGATTACATTATAGAAGAGTGAATTCCATCTTGAGCCCTCTTGCTCACCTGCTCTTTCTCTCATATCACTCGCTTTGGGAGAAACCCTATCATGAACAATCCTAAGGAGAGACCAACATGGCAAAGAAGAAAAGCCTCCTGCCAACAATCGTACGAGTGAACTTGGAAGTTGATTATGCCACCACAGTTGAACATTGAGATGAGTGCAGCCTCAGGCAATGGACGTGACTGCAACCTTGGGACAGACCTTGAACCAAACCACCCAGGTAAACTACTCTCAAATTCCTGCCCCTCAGAGAATGTCTGGGATCTTAAATGCAGGCATGCCTTGTTTTATTGTGCTTCATTTTATTGTTCTTTGCAGATACTATGTTTATTCGGAATTGGTGGTTTCTGACAACCCTACATGAGGAATTCTGTTGACACCATGTTTCCAACAGGATGTGATCACTTTGTATCTTTGTCACATTTTGGTAATTCTTGTACAATTTAAAAATCTTTTTATTATTATAATATCCATTATGGTGATCTGTGATCAGTGATCTTAGAGATTACTATTATAATTGTTTTGGGGTACCACAAACCACTCCCATATAAGATGTCAAATTTAATCCAGATGTTTTGTGTATTCTGACTGCTCCACCAACAAGTCATTCCCCCATCTCTCTCCCTCTCCTTGAGCCTTTCTAACCAACAATGTTTATGGACACCATAGGCTCTGAAAATGAAACATCTGCTATTGCTAAAATATTTGTGCTCATTCTTTCCTCATTTGTTTCATGGTTACTTATGAAGATATTGAAGTTTTAGTGTACAGGCTACATGAGTATTAGATTATTCCTATTACCCCCTTTAGTGTAATACTAGTCTGATAGCTTTTAGTATTAGTTTCAGTTAAAATTATTTACTCATTCATCTCACAAGTTTTTAAATTATGTGGAAACAATGCATATCTACTTGAGTTATGAGTATTGAATGTGGACTTGGGGAAAATGCACATATTAATATGGAGAGAAGAAAATAAATATTCTATATTTCTTTTCTTGTTTTTGACTTATTCACATTAGTTTCCTGCTTTTAGCATGGTCTTATTTCTGACTATCCTGTTAAGTGCTATAATTACTGTAGAAAATATTAAGATATAAGTGCTAATATTTCTGTAGAAAATTTTGAGACATCTATGTTCTGAAGCACTATTACAAATGTTCATTGTTTAAAACTTGAGATACCTAGATTATTCTGTATTACTTTGAGTTAAAAATTGTCAATTAATTTAACAACTAATTTACTTTAACAACTAGTTTAACTAATTTGTTAATTCATTTAACTTGCCATAAAATGATAAAGAAAAGTATTCCCCACAAATGAAGTACAGTATCCTCACTTAACATTGTCAGTGGGTTTTTGGCAATTGCAACTTTAAGTAAAAAGACATGTAGCAGATCCTGAGTAACATCATTTCCTTCAAAGTAGTTTGATAGTATGATGCTGATGAGAAAAATAAATCAGATCTATTATATGTATGTATGTGTGTATGTATATATGTATTTTGGAGACAGGGTCTCACTTTGTCACCAAGGTGTGAAACGGCTTACTCTAGCTTCCACCTTCTGGGTTCAAGTGATCTTCCCACCTCAGCCTCTCAAGTAGCTGTGACTACAGGCATCCACCACCGAGCTGGCTAACTTTTGTTTTTTGTTTCTTTGTAGAGACAGTGTTTTGTCATATTTTCCAGACTGGTCTTGGACCCCTGAGCTCAAGCCATCTGCCCACCTTGGCTCCCCAAAATACTGGTATTCCAGGTGTGAGCCACTGGCCCAGCCCAGGTTTGTTATGTGTTGCTTGCTTAAATTAGAAGTTTCCAAAAACCTATAATGTTTAGTAAGAACTTATTGTGCCTTAAATATTGCAAAGATACCAAGGACGTATGAAGAATTGGTTTGGTGATTATAATTTTATTGTACTCTCTTCAATAAAATGTCAATTTTAAGAACCTCTATAGTATACTTGTCACTGTGAAAGAACCAATTTAAGTACATCACTGTTAACTAAACTCCAGAGTTTAATTTTACTTCATTAGTTTTTCCCTACTGCCGTTTTTCTATTCCAGGATCCCATCCAGGTGGCTACCTAATATTTAGTTGTCATATCTTCTTGGGCTCCTCTGGATTGTGATGGTTTCTTTTTTTCCTTTTCTTGATGACCTTGACAGCAGCAGCGGTCACACATTTTGTAGAATCTTCCTCATTTGGGATTTTTGGATGTTTCGTTGCAGTTAGATGGGGTTATGCATTTCTGAGGGAAAATATTGAAATTTTGAATGAAATTAACTACCTATATATACACTACATGAATTCCAAATATTTATGGAATATAAGCAGTTTTGATATTTATTAATAGTCACATACTATGCTGAAGCCATTCATTTATTCACTCATTCATTTACATTTTATAAAATGCTGTTTTTATAAAGAATATGATGATACATATACATTATTAATACATATAGCTATGAACAGACTGTGATATCCATACTAACATTTAATCCAAGACTGTTCATTTTAATGCAATGGGTTTTGCTGGTAATTGGTAATAAAAAAGCATCATTAACCAGTACATTAGGACATTCTGATTCACTCCTCTAGATTTCAGGCTTAAGAGGCCATTACATTCTTAATGACCCTAACCAATGGAGGCAGTAGTTTTCCTCTCAAAGGAAAGTCCCAGAGTAGAGTTGTTTTCCTTGATTTATATACTAACTGGATGTAGTTAATTACAAAGTTCCAGTGATAAGTACAGAAAAACAATGTAGATGCTGCTTTTACTTTGGCTATTATTTCTGAGGAAAAGTCCATTATAATTCCAATTGTCAATCTCTATGAGAAACATTTATCTGTTACAATTTTCTATATTTCAAAAAACCTTATAATGTTCTTATAGTTCTAAGAGATAAAAATTGAATATCCAAAAGGTTCTCTGTGTCTGATGACAGGGATATCTATAAATTTAGAGGTGAGATATCCACAAATTTAGAGGGAGATTATTTATTGTATGGATTTGCCAGAACTTCTGTTCTTATGCTCTTGGATCAGCCAAAGACTTTGGACTCCAGAGGAAGTTTGATTTTCCAAATCTGTGCACTCCACAAACTTCATGTGATTGCCCTCAAATGCCAAGTTATTTGATTATTTATTTATATGGTGTGAACTCATTCCTGCTTGATTCAATCAGCAAGAACAGAACTGAATAGACTGTACCTTACTGTTGGAAATTTGGAACTACAAACTAGGGAACTTTAAATTTCAATTACACTGTTTTGCTCAACTGCCTCGGTTTATTTGCTGTTTCTCTGTTTTATTTCATAACAACTTTTTATTTTGTTTTTTATTTGTCCTTAACGGTTTTTATAAATCTACTTTATTGAAAAGACTTAAAAGCTGCATTATCAGAACTCTTGAAAGGCAAAAAATACTCTCTCCACTCTGCACTATTATTTCATGCTATTATAAACCAGAAGCAAAGCAATTCCAAGACTCTCATTAAAAATTATAGGAAGGTAAAAGTTTGTTTGTCTTCATTTATTTAATACATGGGGGTTGTGTTGTTTCCAGATGCATATAAACTTTTTTGAATGTCTTATTTTGGATAATTCATAAATATCTTAAACTGCTCAGTCTTAAAAAAAGGAATGAGAACAAAATACTCATGTAAAATTAATGATTTTTCCAATTACAAAAATACTGATATATTTCTAAAGACCGTTTTTAGATTCTTATAGAAAAACAGTAAGATATCTGTCTAGGAAAATACTAAATAATAAAGACAGTACAACTATTATAATTATGTTAATAACATCTCAAACATTGTTATTACCTAGATGAAGAAAGATTATGTCTTCACCAACTCATCTTTTTTCTTTTATTATTCAAAGTCTTCTATTGCAGCTATCAAATCTTGCACTTTTTTAGAAGTTTTGCAATTTGATTATCCTTAATTCAATAAATTGCACACCATGTTTAACATAGCAGGAATATTGCATTTAGATTTCTCTTGACATGTAATTAGTGTCTTTTTTCTGTAACTTATAAATTTCTACTAAATGCATGCATTTTACAATAGAATCACTGTTCATTATGAATACTATGAGAAAAAGACACCTAAAATATTTGCGTTATTTTGCAGTATAACTTCAAGTTGCTTAATGTCTCCGGTTCTGCACAATCTGATTTCTCCTCTGCCTCTCTATTCTTGTCTAAGGTGCTGTTCCTCATCAAGGTACCATTAATGCCAAAATGATTTCTTCTGTGACAATGCATATCTCCTCAACTTTTGCAATTTCCTCAGCGTGTCTCTTTCTTGATTCTCCTCTTTTTTTTTTTTTTTTACTAAGTTCTATTTCTTCCCTTAAAGCCTAGTTTAAGTTTTATTTCATTTATTATTCCTTAGCTAAGTAACTAGTCTACGGGAATCATTGCTTCACCTATATTTTTTTAGTACCCACAGGCTGTGTATAAATAATTTACAAATTAATTCATATGCTAAGAGTTGTATATTATAGAAACATTTATTTTTAGGTGTTGTCTTCAGAATAAATGACTGTAAGCAGCTTTCAAGTTATTGAAACTATATATATTTATATATATATACACGCATACACATCTACAACTATATATAGAGAGGGAGTGGGAGAGAGAGAGCGAGAAAGTAGTTTTTACCTCTTAGTATAGTTTTTGTCCTATGAGAGTCTGGTGATAAATTGGTAATGTCTCATCAAACTCCTCAACTGATCCCACATGAGATGTTCCCAGGAATAACAAAAACGTTAATAAATGATACAGGAAACTGAAAAACCTTTCAGAATATTGGCATTTTTATTCGTTCTTCTATCTGAATACAGTAGAGGGAGGGGAAAGATATACAAATATAACACCTACTCATAACAGGAAAAAGCAAGTTTGGATTGTGTGGACAATGGTTCATGTTATTAGAACTATGAAACCCAGAAAGAAATCAAAGTGTATATCTGATCATTTGAAGACACATGTACATGTTGCTAGCATTCATCAAATAGAATAATAATTTTAAAATTAAATTATGAAATATAAGCATATCACAATAAAAATGTAATCAATGAAGCTCATAATGGGAAATAATTCATTCTCATCAGAAACAGTATGTAAGAGCTGAGATGTTCACTTGCCAATTTACTTTAAACCAATAGTAAAAATAGAAATGCACATACAATTTTATATATGTTGATCATTTTCATATTAGATGAAATGAGACTGGTTCTTCAATTTTGATCTTGTGATAATTTCCTTTTCCACAGAAATTTATTGATACCTAGTTGTATGTTTATTAATGCAGGTGATACTTAAAGGTAAAATTATGATGAGTCAAGCTGTGCTGAAGATAAAACTAGAGAGAAAAAAGTTGCATTGTTTTGGAGTTTATTTTTCACTCTATTAAAATAGGAAACTACATGGTGCATTTTGAATAAAATGTAAAAAGTGGTTTGGAACACAGCATAATAGTTCTAGTCATCCTGAACTATCTAGACATCTAATATATTGAAAAAAATAAAACAGCAGAATGATCAAGCAGAATGAAAATTGTTCCCCCGGATACCCAGCTCAACATTCTAAAGACAACACTCGGATGAGCTGACAAACCCACAGCCAATATCATACTAAATGGGCAAAAACTGGAAGCATTCCCTTTGAAAACTGGCACAAGGCAAGGATACCCTCTCTCACCACTCCTATTCAATATAGTAGAAGTTCTGGCCAGGGCAATCCGGCAAGATAAAGAAATAAAGGGTATTCAATGAGGAAATGAAGATGTCAAATTGTCTCTGTTTGCAGATGACATGATTGTATATTTAGAAAATCCCACCGTCTCAGCCCAAAATCTCCTTAAGCTGATAAGCAACTTCAGCCAAGTCTCAGGATACAAAATAAATGTGTAAAAATCACAAGCATTTCTATACACCAGTAACAGACAACCAGAGAGGCAAATCATGAGTGAACTCCCATTCACAATTGCTACAAAAAGAATAAAATACCTAGGAATAAAACAAGGGATGTGAAGGACTGCTTCAGGGAGAACTACAAATGACTGCCAAAAGGAAATAAGAAAGGACACAAACAAATGAAAAACATTCCATGCTCATGAATAGGAATAATCAATGTCATGAAAATGGCCATACTGCCCAAAGTAATTTATAGATTCAATGCCATTCCCATCAAGCTACCATTGACTTTCTTCACAGAATTGGAAAAAAAAACTACATTAAATTTCATATGGAACCAAAAAAGAGTCCATATAGCCAAGACAATCCTAAGCAAAAAGAACAAAGCTGGAGGCATCACACTACCTCACTTCAAACTATACTACAAGGCTACAGTAACCAAATCACCATTGCTGGTACCAAAACAGATATACAGACCAATGGAACAGAACAGAGGCCTCAGAAATAATGCCACACATCTACAACTATCTGATTTTTGACAAAACTGACAAAAACAAGTAATGGGGAAAGCGTTCCCTATTTAATAAATGGTGTTGGGAAAAATGGCTGGCCATATGCAGAAAGCTGAAACTGGATCCCTTCCTTACATCTTATACGAAAATTAACTCAAGATGGATTAAAGACTTAAACATATGACCTAAAACCATAAAAACTCTAGAAGAAAACCTAGGCAATACCATTCAGGACATAAAAGTGGGCAAAGACTTCATGACTAAAACACCAAAAGCAATGGCAACAAAAGCCAAAATTGACAAATGGGATCTAATTAAACTAAAGAGCTTCTGCACAGCCAAAGGAACTATCATCAGAGTGAACAGGCAACCTAGAGAATGGGAGAAAATTTTTGCAATCTATCCATCTGACAAAGGGCTAATATCCAGAATCTACAAAGAACTCCAACAAATTTACAAGAAAAAGAAAAACCCCATCAAAAAGTGGGTGAAGGATATGAACAGACACTTCTCAAAAGAAGACATTTATGCAGCCAACAAACATATGAAAAAAAGCTCATTATCACTGGTCATTAGAGAAATGCAAACCAAAACCACAGTGAGATACCATCTCACACCAGTTAGAATGGCGATCATTAAAAAGTCAGGAAACAACAGATGCTGGAGAGGATGTGGAGAAATAGGAATGCTTTTACGCTGTTGATGGGAGTGTAAATTAGTTCAACCATTGTGGAAGACAGTGTGATGATTCCTCAAGGATCTAGAACTAGAAATGTCATTTGACCCAGCAATCTCATTACTGGGTATACACCGAAAGGATTATAAATTATTCTATTATAAAGACATGTGCACAGGTACGTTTATTGCAGCACTGTTCACAATAGCAAAGACTTGGAACCAAGCTAAATGTCCATCAATGATAGACTGGATAAAGAAAATGTGGCACATGTATACTATGGCATACTATGCAGCCATAAACAGAATAAGTTAATGTTCTTTGCAGAGACATGGATGAAGCTGGAAACCATCATTCTCAGCAAACTAACACAAGAACAGAAAACTAAACACCACATTTTCTCACTCGTAAGTGGGAGTTGAACAACGAGAACACATGTACACAGGGAGGAGAACATCACACAGCAGGCCTGTTGGCAGGTGGGGGGCTGGGGGAGGGATAGCATTAGGAGAAATACCTAATGTAGATGACAGGTTGATGGGCGCAGCAAACACCGTGGCATGTGTATACCTATGTAACAAACTTGCATGTTCTGCACATGTACCCCAGAACCTACAATATAATAATAAAAAAAGGCAACACTCTGCTATTATTTCAAATTAACCCTTTCTGACATTCAACTTCACACATATTTTCTTTTTATCTAACGTTTCAGTAATTAATTTGTTATCTAATTAATTACTTATAATTAATTAATTATACTGTGCACTCGTTGAAGGGAGAGCATTTTAAAGTATTTTTTTTTTTTTTTTTGCGGATGATGTGATAGAAAACCTCATAGTCTCTGCCAAAAGTCTTCTAGAAGTGATAAAAACATCAGTAAAGTTTTAGGATACAAAATCATTTCTATACACCAATAACATTCAAGCTGATGGCCAAATTAAGAATATAATCTCATTTAGAATAGCCATAAAAAGAATAAAATACCTAGGAATGCAGCTAACTATGGAAGTGAAAGATCTCCATAATAAGACTAACAAAACACTGCTGAGAGAAATCAGAAAAAACACAAACAAATAGAAAAACATTTAATTCTCATGGACAGAAAGAATTAGTATAGTTAAATGGCCATACTGGCCAAAGCAATTTACAGATTTAATGTTATTCCTCTCAAATTACCAACATTATATTTTGCAAAATTAGAAAAAAAAAACTATTCTGCAATTTATATAGAAACAACAAAAAAAGCTAGAATTGCCAAAATAATCCTAGGCAAGATAAAAAAAAAAAAAAAAGCTGGAAGCATCATGCTACTTAACTTTAAACTATACTAGAAAACTACAGTAGTCAAAACATCACAGTACAGGTGCAAAACCAGACCAAAAGACCAATGGAACAGGTTCAAGAATATGGAGATAAAGCTGCATGCCTGCAACCATCTGATTTTCAACAAAGTTGAAAGTAACAAGAATGGGAAAAGGAATCCTTAATCAATACATTTTATTGGGACAACCATCTAGTCATGTGAAGAAGACTGATACCAGACCCCTTCCTTTAGCCATATAAAAAAATAAACTCAAGATGGATTCAAGACTCTAATATAAGACCTATAACTATAAAACCCTAGAAGAACACAGGGGAACTACCATTCTGGACATAGTCTCTGGCAAATATTTCATGAGGAGGTATCCAAAAGCAATTGCAACAAAAACAAAAATAGATAAGTGTGACCTAATTAAACTAAAGAGTTTCTGCACGGCAAAAGAAACTCAAGAGAATAAACACAACCTACAAAATGGGAGAAAATATTTGCAAATTATGCATTTGACAAAACTCTAATATCTAGAATTCATGAGAAGCATAAATCAACAAGCAAAAAACAACCCGGTTAATAAATGGGCAAATGACATGAAGAAACACTACTGAAAAGAAGACATATAAGCAGTAATATGGTTTGGCTTTGTCCCCACCCAAATCTCATTTTGAATTGTAATCCCCTAATCCCCATGTGCCGAGAGAGGGACCTGGTAGGAGGTGATTGGATCATGGGGGCAGTTTAGGTCATGCTGTTCTCATGATAACAAGTGAGTTCTCACAAGATTTGATGGTTTCTTAAGCATCTAGCATTTCCCCTGCTTGCACTTCTCTTTCCTGCCACCATGTGAAGAAGGTCCTTTCTCCCCCTTTACCTTCTGCCATAATTGTAACTTTTGTGAGGCCTCCAAGTGGATCTGTGAGTCAATTAAACCTCTTTCTTTTATAAATTACCCAGTCTCACAGTATTTTTATAGCAATGTGAAAATAAAGTAATACAAGCAACCAACAAATTATGACAAAATGCTCAATATCACTCACTAATCATTAAAGAAATGTGGATCAAACCGTGATGAGATACCATCTCATACCAGTCAGAATGACTATAATTAGAATGTCAAAAATAACATATGGCAAGGTTGTGGAGAAAAAGGATTGCTTATACACTGTTGGTGGGAAGGTAGATTAGTTCAGTCACTGTGGAAAGCAGTGTGGAGATTTCTCCAAGAACTTAAAACAGAAATACCGTTTAACCTAGCAATTCTATTACTTGGTATATACGCTAAAGAATATAAACTCTTTTACCAAAAAGACACATGCACTTGTATGTTGATTGCAACACTATTCACGGTAACAAAGGCATGGAATCAACCTAGATGCCCATCAACAGTAGACTGGATAATGAAAATGTGGTACATAGGTGCCATGGAATACTCCACAGCCATAAAAAAGAATGAAATCATGTCATCTGCAGCAACATGGATGCAGTTTGAAGCCATCAACCTAAGCAAATTAATGCAGAAACAAATAACCAAACACCGCATGTTCAAACTTATAAGTGGAAGCTAAACATTGAGTACACATGGACACAAAGATGAGAACAATGGACAGTGAGGCCTACTTGAGGCAGGAGGTTAGGAGGAGGGTGAAGTTCAAAAAACTACCTGTCAGATATTATACTTACTACTTGGGTGACAAAATCATTTGTACACAAAATCCCAGTGAAACACAATTTATCCATGTAATATACCTGCATGTGTACCTCCTGAGCTTAAAACAAAAGATGAAAAAAAAGAAGTAAAATAAAGATTCTAATGAGTCTATTTTTCATAAGGAGAGTGCTGATAGTCCATAGTGTAATCTAGTGATAGAATTATACAAAATATGTCCATTAAATAATCCTAGTTAGCCACTTATAAGAAGCAAGGAGCTAAGTGGCTCTGTATATTATATTTTCAAATATTTTTGAAAAACTAATGAATACAACGGGAGTGGCTTTTTGCTTATAATAGCTCTGGATGAAGTGCCAAAAGAAAAGGATAAGTTCAGGGATTTAAATTCTAAACTCAAGCACTGTATAAATGACCTGAAGGCATCTAAATATGCCCTGAAGGAGCTTCTTATTTCCTGTAGCCACAAAGCTGAAACAGCTGACAATGAAACACAGAATTTCATCTGCCAATTGACTAAATTACAATGCAAGTTGAACTCCCAGCTTCATAGGGTGTCTACGGTTAAAGTGAGGGCATTGATTGAGAAAGAATGAGATGCCATAACTTTTCATGTGAACATGTGTGAACCCCAGATTAAATTGGAACATTGAGCCCCTAAATTCTAATACGTTTTATCAACAAACGAGTGCTCACTTCCAGTAGAAATGGTCTCCCCACCCCTAGCGAAATGGCCTCCCCCAACCCTCTACAAGTTACTACCCCAACCCCAGTTGTAGTGACTGCTCCATCCATAACTGAGCAGAGTAACCCTACAATGCCTGAGAAAACTGTAGTGGCTTCCCTAAGGCAGCTGTCATGCAAGACAATGCTAATTTTCTCAGGACTTACCCGTACCACCCCATTTTGCTTCTACTTCTATAACTCAAATGAAGTTCCAGCATCCCTCTAAAGGTGAGGTATCAAATGTGACCCAAGAAGAAGTATGCTAGACTTCAAAGAACCATGTGAGTTTTATAATTTATAGACAAATCTAAGGTACGTGTGTGGGAATAGATATTGAGAACGTGGGATAATAGTGAAAGGAGCATAAAGTTGGATCGGTTTAAGTTTATTGATATGAGTTCACTAAGCAGAGATATTGTATTTACTGTTGCAGCTTGAGAAATTTGAGAGAGCTCTAAAGTTTGGTTGGTTGGTAGGTTAAAATATGAGCCAAAAAGTTGCCCACAGTAAGCAAATAGGAAATTCCAAATATGCCTTGGTATAATGCAGACGAAGGGATAAAAAGGCTTAGGGAAATTGAACTGTTAGAGTGAATTTGTCATTGAAGACCACTGGGAGGGTCTAGAAGACATACCATTTACAATATTGTGAGAACAATTTGTGAGTGGAGCCCTGGCTTCCTTGAAAAGCTCTGTCACTGCTAGTCTGTAAACCAGACCTCTCAGTGGGAATTGCAGTCACTGATCTGGGAAACCTAAATGCGGTAGTGGTAATTGGATCCTGGAGTGGCAGTGACCAAGTGGCAGCATTCAATGATGAAAGGAAAGGTGAGCGTGGTAATCTTAATGGATAGCATTGTCAAAGCAACAATCAGAATAGTCTCACTTGCACAGACCTATGGCATGGACTAGTCGATCATGAAATTTCTAGAAGTGAAGTAGACAAAAAGCCTGCTAAGTTCTTATTTGATCTATCTAAATACAAAAGTTCTAGGTCAAGTCAACAAAAGGCTAATTTTAATCACAAAAAGTCATGACCCCACAATCAATTCCCAGAACTAGGTTCTACAGACTTAGAACCCCTTGAATGAAGAAACCTATGGTCTTTTATCTAAATAACTGTGCATTGAATAATGGAAAATAATCAGGCCTTTTGGGAACTACTGGACACTGGTCCTGAACTGACATTAATTCCGGGAGACCCAAAACATCACTGTATTAGTCTATTTTCACACTGCTATAAAGGACTACCTGAGGCTGGGTAATTTATGACAAAAAGAGATTTAATTGGCTCACCTTTCTGTAGGCCTAACAGGAAGCATGCCTGGGAGGCCTCAGCAAACTTACAATTATGGTAGAAGGTAAAGGGGAAGCAAGGACCTTCTTCAAATGGTGGTAGGAGAGAGAGAGTAAGAGGGGGAAGTGACACATGCTTTTTTTTTTTTTTTTTTTTTTTTTTGAGATGGAGTCTTGCTGTGTCACCCAGGCTAGAGTGCAGTGGCGTGATCTCAGCTCACTGCAACCTCTGCCTCCCAGGTTCAAGTGATTCTCCTGCCTCAGCCTCCTGAGTAGCTGGGATTACAGGTGCCCACCAGGAAGCCTGGCTAATTTTTGTATTTTTAGTAGAGAAAAAGTTTCACCGTGTAGACCAGGCTGGTCTCAAACTCCTGACCTCAGGTGATATGCTTGCCTTGGCTTCCCAAAATACTGGGATTACTGGTGTGAGCCACCACGTGCAGCCACACACAAACTTTTAAACAACCAGATCTTGTGAGAATTCTATCATGAGACAACACTAGGGGGATGGTGACAAACCATTAGAAACTACCTCCATGATCCAATCACATTCCACTAGACCCCACCTTTAACATGTGTGGATTACAATTCAACATGAGATTTGGTTGGGGACACAAAGCCAAACTGTATCATTCTACTCCTGGCCTCTTCCAAATCTCATGTCATTCTCACAATTCAAAACATAATCATGTCACCCCAACAGTCTGCCAAAGTCTTAACTTAACTCATTCCAGCACTAACCAAAAAGTACAGGTCCAAAGTCTCATCTGAGACTAAGCAAGTCTCTCCCACCTATGAGCCTGTAAAATAAAATAAAATAAAAAAACAAGCTAGTTACTTCTAAGATGCAATGGGGATACAGGCATTGGGTAAATGCTCCTATTCCAAAAGGGAGTAATTGATCAAAACAAAAGGGCTACAGGCCCCATGGAAGTCCAATACCAGTAAGGCCATCAATAAATCTTAAAGCTCCAAAATCTCCTTTGACTCCATGTTTCATATCAGGCCACACTGACACAAGGGGTAGGCTCCTAAGCCCTTGGGCAGCTTCACCCCTGTGGGTCTTCAGGGCATAGCCCCTACAGCTGCTTTCATGGGATGAGGTTGACTATCCGAAGCTTTTCCAAATGCATGGTGCAAACAGTTGGTAGATCTACCATTCTTGGATTTCGAGGACTGTGGCCCTCATCTCACAGCTTCACAAAGGAGTGCCCCAGCTGGGACTCTTTTTGGGCTCCAACTCCACATTTCCCCTCTGCATTGCCCTAGTAGAGCTTCCTAGTGAAGGCTCTGCCCCTGCAGCAGACTTCTCCCTGGACATCCAGGTGTTTTCATACATCCTCTAAAATCTAGGTGGAGGCTCCCAAGCCTCAACTCTTGCCTTCTGCACACTTGCAGTCCAACACTATGTGGAAGCCACCAATGCTTGTGGTTTGCACCCTCTCAAGCAGCAGCTTGAGCTCTATCTTGGCCCCTTTTAGCCATGCCTAGAGCTGGAGCTGCTGGGATGCAAAGTGCTGTGTCCTGAGACTGTACAGAGAAATAGGGATAGGGCCCTTGTCCTGGTTCAGGGATTATTTTTCCCTCCCAGGCCTCCAGGCTTGTAATGGGAGGGGCTACCATGAAGGTTTCAAAACACCTTGAATGCATTTTTTGCATTGTCTTGGCTATTAACATTCTGCTCCTCTTTACTTACACAAATTTCTGCAGCCCTGAATTCCTTCCTATAAAATGGGTTTTTCTTTTTTCTTTCTTTCTTTTCTTTTTTTTTTTTGAGATGGACTCTCACTCTGTCCCCAAGGCTAGAGTGTGGTGGCACAATCTTAGTTCACTGCAACCTCCACCTCCCAGGTTCAAGCGATTCTCCTGCCTCAGCCTCCCAAGTAGATGGGATTACAGACACGTGCCACCACATCCAGCTAGTTTTTGTATTTTTAGTAGAGATGAGGTTTCGCCATGTTGTCCAGGCTGACTCCTGACCTCAGGTGAGTGATTCAAACTTTTATGCTCTGCTTCTCTTTTCAATATAAGTTCCAAATTCAAACCATATCTTTCTTCAGAGATATTAGCATACACTATTAGAAACAGCCAGGCCCCATCTTTAACACTTTGTTGCTTTAGAAATTTTTAAGGCCAGATACCCTAAATCATTTCTCTGAAGTTCAAATTTCCACAGATTTCTAGGGCAAGGGAACAATGCCACCAGTCTCTTTACTAAAGCAGTAGTGACCTTAACTACAGTTCCCAATAAGTTTCTCATCTCCACCTGAGACCACCTCAGCCTGGGCTTCATTGTCTGCATCACTATCATCATTTTGGTCAAAATAATTCAGAATGGCTCTAGGAAGTTCCAAACTTTTCCACGTCTTCCTGTCTTTTTCTGAGCCCTCCAAACTGTTCTAACCTCTGCCCAGTACCCACTTCCAAAGTAACTTTCACATTTTCAGGTATCTTTATAGCAGTGTCCCACTCTCCTGATATGAATTTACTGTATTAGTCCATTTTCACACTGGTATAAAGAACTACCTGAGACTGGGAAATTTATGAAGAAAAGACATTAAATTGACTCAAAATTTATCAGGCATAACTGGGAGGCCTCAGGAAACTTAGAATCATGGTGGAAGGTGAAGTGGAAACACAGGTCTACTTCACATGGTGGCAGGAGATAGAGAACATGATGGGGGGGAAGTTCCACACACTTTTAAACAACCAGATGTCTGGAGAACTCTATCATAAGACAGCATTGGGGGATGATGCCAAAACATTAGACACGACCCCTATTATCCAATCACCTCCCACCAGTCCCCACATTTAATACGTGGGAATTAAAATTTGACATGCAATTTGGGTGAGGACATAGAGCCAAACAATATCAATCACTATTGCCCACCAGCCAGAGTAGGGGCTTATGGAAGTCAGGTAATCAATGGAGATTTATCTCAAGTCTATCTCATAGTGGGCCCAGTGAGTCCCTGAACTCATTCTGTGGTCAGTTCCTCCATTCCAGAAAACATAATTGGAATAGACATATTCAACACCTGGCAGAATCCCTACATTAGTTTGCCAACCAGTGAAGTGAGGGCTACTACAATGGAAAAGGCCAAGTGGAAGCCACTAGAACTTCGTCTGCGTAACAAAATAATGAACCAAAGTAACACTGTGTTCTTCATGGAGAGGTTGCAAGTATTAATGCTACCATCAAGGACTTGAAAGATGTAGGGGCTAGTGATCGTCATCATATCTCCATTTCACTTACCTGTTTTACCTGTGCTGAAGACAAATGGATCTTGAGAAATAACAGTAGATTATCAAAAGCTCAACCAGGTGATGATGCCAATTGCAGCTGCTTTACCAGATGTGGTTTCATTGCTAGAAAAAACACATATACCCTGGTACCTAATATGCAGCTATTGGTCTGACAAATGCCCTTTTTATTATAACTGTCGATAAAACTCACCAGAAGCAGTATGCTTTCAGTTGGCAAAACCAGCAATACACCTTTGCTGCTCTACCTCAGTATTTCAACACTTCAGCCCTGTCATCACTTAGTTTGCAGCAAACTTGATTGCCTTTATCTTTTACAAAATATCATACTAGTTCATTATCTTGATGACATTATGCTGCATAAAGTACCTAGTACATTTCCTAGTAATGAAGAAGTAATTACTACTTAACACTTAGTGATAAGACATTTGTGTGTCAGAGGATGAGAAATAAAATCATCAACTCATAACTAAAATTCAGGAGGCTTCCGTCTTTGTTGACATTTCTAGGGGTTCAGTGGTATGGGGCTTGTCAAGGCGTTTCTTCTAAGGTAAAGAACAAGTTGTTGCATCTATCTTGTCCTACAATCAAGAAGGAGGAACAATACCTCGTGGGTCTACTTGGATTTTGTAGGCAACATGTTTAGGTGTGTTAATGTGACCCATTCAACAAGTAACCTGAAAAGCTGCTAATTTGAATGGGGCCAAGGACAACAGAAGGTTCTGCAACAGGTCCAAGATGCTGAATTAGTTGTTCTGGCACTCCACCATATAACTTTGCAGATTTAGTAGTGCTTGAAGTGTTAGTGGCAAATAGGCATACTCCTTGAAACCAATGGGGTATCCCTATAGGTGACTGGCTGCACAATACCTTAGGATTTTGGAGCAAGTAGATAACTACTCTCTTTTTGAGAGATAGGTCTTGGCCTGCTATTGGACTTTATTAAAACCTGAATGATTAACCATGAGTTGACAAGTTACTGTGCAATCTGAGCTACCCATCATAAACCAGATGTCATGTAACTCACTACATCACACATTTAGGCACACACAGCAGCAATTTATAATCAAATCAAAATGGTCTATATGTAATTGGTCCCCAGTAGGTCCTGAAGGCACAAGGAAGTTAGACGAAAAAGTGGTCCAAATGCCCATGGTCCCTGCTCTGCTACACGGCCTTCTCTCTCCCAGTCTGCACCTATGGCCTCAGAAAGAGTTCCCTACAATTTGCTAACACAAAGAGAATACTTGGGCTCAGTTTACAGGTGGGTATACATAAAATGCAGGCACTACTCAAAAGTGGACAGCTGTAGCACAACAGCTTTTTGGACATTTCTGAAGAACACTGATGAAAAACAAAATTACCAGTGGGCAGAACTAAGAGCAGCACACCTGATTGTTCACTTTGCTTGGAAAAACATATAGGCACATGTGCCTATACACTGATTCATCGGCTGTAAGCAATAATGTGGCTGGGTGTTCAGAGCTTAGAAACAAACATAATTGAAAAACTTGTGATGAGAAAATTTGGGGATGACATATGGGCTTATGAACAAAGGGTTCATAGTGGCAGAGATGGAAGCTATGCATGGGCTCAGCAACATGGACTTCCTCATCATGGCCAACCTGGCTATGACAACTGCAAAGTACCCAATCTGCCAGCAGCAACAGAGATCAACAGTATTTCCGAGGGTGATTATTCAGCAACCTGGTGGCAGATTGGTTACGTTGGACCACTTCTATCATGGAAGGGGCAGAATTTTTTTCTTACTGTTCTTACTGGAATAGACACTATGCATACAGATTTGCCTTCCCTAAATGCAGTATTTCTGCCACAATTACCATCGGGGACTGATAGAATGTTTTAACCACTGTCATAATACTCCACACAGCATTGCCAGTGACCTAGAGACTTCCTTCACAACAAAATTGTGGTAATCTGCAATGGAATGCACTGATCTTGCCATGTTCCCCAATGTACTGAAGGAGATGACTTCATAGAACAGTAAAGTAGCCCTTTAAAGACTCAGTTACAGTGCTGATGTAGTTAGACTCTGTGTCCCCCACAAATCTTATGTTGAACTGTGATCTTCAGTGTTGGAGGAAGGGCCTGATGGGAGGTGACTGGATCATGGGGATGGATTTTCCTCTTGCTGTTCTGGAGATAGTGAGTGAGTTCTCATGAGATCTGGTCGTGTAAAAGTGTGTAGCACTTCCTCCTTCACTCTCTCTCTCCTGCTCCACCATGGAAGACTAGCTTGCTTCCCCCTTTGCCTTCCACAATGATTGTAAGTTTCCTGAGGCCTCCCAGTCATGCTTCCTGTACAGCCTATGTAACTGTGAGTCAATTAAATCTCTTCTCTTCATAAATTACCTAGTCTCAGGTAGCTCTTTATTGCAGTGTTAGAACAGACTAATAAAAGTGTCAAGTAGCTGGCAATATTTTGCAGGGCTGAGGTAAGTTTCTCCAAAATGCTCTATATACTCTGAATCAGCCCAATATATGGTGCTGCTTCTCCTATAGCCAGCATGTTAGTTCACGCTGCTATATCAAAGTACCTTAGATTGGGAGATTCATAAATAACAGAAACATATTTCTCACAGTTCTAGAAGCTGGAAGTCTGCAATGAGGATGCCAGCATGGTTAGATTTTGATAAATACTTTCTTCCAGATTATGAATGGCTGACTTCTTTTCGTGTCTTCACATGGTGCAAAGAGAACTAGTTAGCTATTTGGCTTGTTCTTATATGAAGACTAATCCCATTCATGAGGACTCAACAAAGTATTGAATTAGTCTTACTTTCTTATTCATTTTTAATAACATTTTTATTACATATTTAGAATATATTCTACAAGTTTCTTCATGATTTACTCAGTTACAATGAAATTTATGCTCAATATATTCTGAATATAACCTATTGATAGATAACAAGAAAGATTAATCAATTTCATATATTGTTGTTTATGAAATAATTTTGTTTGATTAATAATTAGTAATAGCCACATCTTTCATGCTCTTATTCTGCTGAAAGAATCAGTCATTCATTAATGTGACAAATATATATTCAGGAGCTGGCACAGACCCTTTAAGCATGAACCATGATGCTACTTTCTTTAGCAGATAAAGATAAAATTAAAAAACAAATGTGTGTCCAAAGCTCTGTATTGGACAGAGCCTAGAGTACTCTTAGAGAGCACAGCAAAAAGCAAAGCTTTGAGATTATGAAGTGTGAACCCAGCCAGAATAGGTGCCACAAGCACCAAAAGACTGCCTTATCTATTTCTCCACAAATCATTTTTAAATTAAGACAAAATCATACAACAAACGTGGGAAATTCAGGATTTTTCTAAAAAGTTTTCCTTAGTGCCTCTTTTCTATGATTTTAATTATCTTATATATTTAGCATTTTATTTTTATGACAATATTTTGATTCATGACATAAATTAAACCACAATTAATCAATATTTTATTTATCAAATTATGAAATATCAACATCTTTCATTAAAAGCATCATATTTGTGTCATTTCATTTTTCATCACCTGAATTTTGCATCTGTCTGGCTATTGTGTAATGCAACATGACTTCTAAGAATTCTGAGGTAGTGATGTTGAATAAGAGTACCAATGAGAATGAACTCATTAGGTGAACACAAGAAAAAAAGGGTTATTGTTTTTCACAGAAAAGGGAAACATTTTGTACATAGGCAAGTGGGAAGGGCAGGAGGCAAATTTGGCAAATAATTCAGGAACTAGATCTTGATGAGCTTTGCTAAACATGATCAGAGTTTGAGGTTTTATTCTAAGAATAAATCCAGTGAGTTGGCTTAAAACTAAAATGACATAGAACATATATTGGTGTAGAAATGCGCCTGCCAAGAGAGCGAAGAAATGTCTGAGAAAGAACTAAGACTAGAGGCAAGAATACAGTAGTGTCTCCTTATCTATGGTTTCAGTTACTTGTGGTCAACCACAGTCAAATACTACCACAAACAATGAGATATTTCAAGAGAAGAGAGAAAGAGAGAGAGTGAGAAACTACATTCACACAGCTTGTATTAAAGTATATTGTTGTAATTGTTTATTTTATTATTAGTTATTTTGTGAATCTCTTACTCTGAAAAATTTATAAATTAAACTTTATCATAGGTATGTATGTATGGGGAAAACATAGCATATAAAGAGTTTTGTGCTATTTGCAGTTTCAGGTATCCACAGATTCACTGGGGGTCTTGGAACTTATTCCCACAGAAAAGGCAGAGCTACTGTGTGCACCCATTGGCTGTTTTACTTTTCAAGGCAAGAGAATGCTTTGCAGACTAGATATAGTGGAGACAAAGAGAAGTGCATAAACGTGAGAAGTGATATTTTGAATCAACAATATTTTGCATATGGGCAGGAAAAAGGAAAAAGGAGAATGAGGTGACTTCGACATAATAAAAGAGGAGAAACATTTTATAATTTGTGGAGCAATTAACAATATATTCATTTAAATACCTGTTGAGTATAAATTACATCAAAAAGTCAGGGATATGTGATTTGATAAATAAATCTGAAGTTGAGAGCAATATCTATGATGTATACATTTGGGAGTCATCAGTATATAGAAGTTGAGAGCAATATCTATGATGTTTACATTTGGGAGTCATCAGTATATAAATAAAATATTCTTGCAATTTATTTTTTAATGCCATAAGTAAACTTAGCAAAAGTAACTGAAATAAATCACCGAGGCTAAAACATGTTCATGTAATTTGGAGGTGAAAAATAATGGAGAAAGCACTATAGACATTTTCATAAAACTTGATTCTGAAGTAGGAGGATGAGATGGACAAAGAGTTATAAGGTGATTTGTGCTGATAGAAATGCTTTTCATTTTCTCCTCCTTGTGCTTGTTTTAGTTTGTTTGGGGAAGGGGTGTTAACATAAGAGATCTGACATCGTGCAGACGTTTATCAAAGGAACTAGTAGAACTGAATGCATTGATGATACTGAAAAAAAAAAGAAAAGTAAATGTTTTAAGATTCTGAGAAGATATGGAAATATTAGGGCAGAGTAGTAACTGGATAAGAGCATGAATATCTGCTTTATTATAACAGCGAAGGAAGAGGATGGTAACAGGCAGTGTGGGTATCAGCAAGCATTCACATCTGTCTGGTGAAAGTTTTATTAGGGTCTGCATGTTTGGAATAAATTCAGCTATAAACAAATGTAAAATGTTGTTGGGGCAAGAGTTTGATCAAGTAGATATGGTTGAAAATTATCTTCCAGAGAAATGGAAGAGGGAATTGATATAATTGAAGTTAATGACTTTAAATGGGTTTTTTTTGACACCAATCTATATAATATCACAGCAGCATCTGGAGACACAACAACAATCACACACACACACACAAACAAAATTATTTGTTAATTGTTGAAGTGCAACTGAAGTATGCTGGATGAGGAAATTAATAAGAAAATGACTGAAGGGATGAACTACTGAAATTATGATGAATTTAGAAGAAAATGAGGAGAATGCCGATAAGCAATAAGAGAATTAAGGGATCTATGAACTGGGTGCGCCAGTGAGAAAAACAAATTAAAATTATAAAAAAATGAATGAGTGAGATAGAAGGATAATTAGGCAGTTCCAAAGTTATACTGGCTGCTGACCTAAGCCATAAGTATTTGAAGCTCTTAACATCCTTATGGATAGAAATATCAATATGTAGTCTTTCATTTTCTTTCACCTCATGGTTGCAAATGTGCTGTTTTGGCACAGGCCATCATATTTGTACACATATTTAAAACAAGGAGAAAGAGCTCAACAGAGTCAAGAGAAAAGTGAGACAGAGACAGAAAGAGAGAAATAGAGAGAGAGAAATCATTCTCAGAAACAGCTTATCTTAACCAACTTCTTTGCCTCTACTATGTAAGAGATCGATTGATGGTATCAAGGGAAACAACATCCCAATCAAAGTGCTTTTAGTCCTAGACCATTAAGATAAAGTTTTATGTGCAAAAAAAAGGTAACAATTGATAGTACCATTCATCTCCTCAACTTAATTCCATGTAAGATTTCTGCTTTAACATTTTTGTGGCAGCAACTAGAAGCAACCTAATATGATGGTGACAAGATCCTTGGAATTATGTCTTCATTAATATGAGGATCCAAATTTTGGTCATTTACTAAAGGGGAAAGCAGAACAATGGAATTGAGTTTCTTAAAATTAACATCCCATCTCAGAGTGAGGGATGAGTCCTTCTTAAGTTTGTTTTCCCACTGCAGTCTTGAGATTCGAGAATACATTTCCCCAAAAAGATTTTGGAAAAAAAAGCATAGCTTTTCTTTTTCTGTTATTAATGTCTATTAAATAGACATGGAAGCCATTCATCTCCTGGTTTTCTTGTTATATCTACCTCAGTAAAACTATGCTTGTTAGCTTTCTAGAAACTCAAATCTTCTGTTATCAGTAATTATAGTTATTACGTTGAGCTTTTGTATCCTGAGGGTTGCAGGTCATAAATACACTGAGATTTGTTCTGTATTCTTCATCTCTATATCAAGTTGATAAAAACATAAATATCCTATATGTAAATGTTTGTAGTTAGAGGATTATAGAGCCAGTTTAGAAAATTAGCACAGAAAAATAGTAGATTATATCTTCTTTTTATGTTAATCTATAAATAGCAGCTAGACTTTATGAACCGATTATACTTTAACAATCTAAAGGGTATATGTTTTTCCAGTGCATAAACTGTCTGAAATACATTGTCATGTTGCTTGCTTACTCTATTGTATGACATATAGCGTCAGGCAGCATCAGTTGAAAATCAAATGCTTGAACAAAACTTTATTTCTTCACTGGTTTCTTAGTGCAGTTCATCTGACTGTTAACTTCGCTGAACATAAATATCAATCTATCATTAAAGTTTATTTTAAGATCTGGGCATGGTGACTCACACCTGTATTTCTAGCATTTTTGGAAACCCAGGCAAAGGATCACGTGGGAGGATCACCTGAGGCAAGGAGTTCGAGATCAGCTTTGGAAATATAGAAAGACCTTGCCTCCTAAAAAATGAAAAAAAAAAAAATTAGCCGGGTGTAATGGCAAGTGGCTGTAGTCCCAGATACTCGGGAGGCTGAAGTGGGAGGATTTCTCGAGCCTAGGAGGTTGAGACTGCAGTGGGCCATTTTTGTGCCACTGCACTCCAGCCTGGGGAAGAGAGAGAAACCCTGTCTCTCTCTCTCTCTCACACAAAAAGAGAGACTTTTATGGGTCTATTTCTTGTTATTTGAGCTTGTTAAATATTGATAATACTAAACAAAGTAAAAATAATGAAATTAATAACAGTAACATGAAAGTAAAAAATGTTATTACTGGGTTCTACACTACTTCAAGCAGAGCATTTTATGATGATTCCTTGTTCCATTATTATCTTCTGAGTTGAAAGTACAAAACTGACATATGGTGAGACCCTTCTTTTCAGTTTCTGTCAATTTGAAAGTCTTGGAATCCCTGCTTTCTGGTTGGCCTTGGTGGCTCTCTTATCCAGACAGACACTTCTGGTGATTAGGGGAGCTACCACTGTTTAATAATCTGCCAAGAACAACAGATTATTTTGGTGCATAAAGTCTTATGCACCCAAATGTAGGAGCTTTCTCCTAGATGACACACCCATGTCCATGCTTCTTAATGGGCTGAAAATAGCTTGGAAGACCTCATGAATTGTGCGACTCTACAATTCTTAAGTAAACCTGTGTGCTCCTTAGGGTAATCATATTTGCCATCTTGCTTCAAATGTGCATAGACATGATGCATAGTTTCAAGCTTCACAAAATTATGCAAACATACTTATACCATCCTTTTGTTCTTTTCAGAAATGCAGAATAAAATTTTGACCTTGTTCTCCTAGTTACTACTAGTTCAAATGTTATGTAGTTCAGTTACAATTTATGAGCTTACTGTTTCTTACATCTAAAATAAAAGCTTAGAATAAAAATAAAGGCATTCACAGTTTACAAAGCAATTTTGCATAAGTTGCATCACAGGTGTTATTGTTACCCCGAAATATAAAATTAATAAATATGTTTAATAACTATGAAGTTTCTGTTAAAATGCTAATGATAGAATTAATAATATATTATTAATCTATAATAATAATATAGATAATAATAGCCTTTTATTTTTCACATGTTTTTGACCTTAGGAAAAAAAGGATGTCTCATAACTTTTGAATCTATAAAACAATTTTTTACACGACATATATTTAATAAGCTTCTTCATGTTTGACTTATATTTAGTCATGCATTAATAAATCACAAAATATATGCATTTTAAGAAGAAAGCAATATGTTCAAAATAGTTAAATAGATTATAGTTATATATATTTAGATTTGTTTAATAAACTTATTACCAAATGAATTGTGTTCATCTCAACAATGATAAAAAATATTTATAATATAAAATTCCTAATTGTATGGCTAAAAAACTGAATTAGACAAGTCACACATTTCAGGGACCCAGCAAATCTAATTGAATGTGAGTAAACCCATCTTACAGGGTGTCTACACAGCATTTAATCTTCTTCTGTTAAATATATTTTAATTATTTTGAAGTTGAGCTTTTTAAGACTTAAACTTATTATTTCTATTTTAATTTTATTTTGTTACATCTAGCTAAAAGTTTCTCAAACACATAGCTCTTTAAAAAATCACATATTTGATGGAGTTTCAGATACATTATACTCTTTTTGGTTTATTTGTTTTATAATACCCTCATACAAAAAGCCAAATAAATGCTAAAATTTGGCAGCATTTTTTTTCCTGCAAAGCAGCAGATAGCAAATACTTTCAGCTTTGTGGGCCATATGGTCTCTGTTGCTACTACTCAACTCTGTCATGCAAATATCACTAAATATAATCTCTCTCTCTCTCTCTCTCTCTCTCTCTCTCTCTCTCTCTCTCTATATATATATATATATATATATATATATATATATATGTATAGAAACTAGTGTGACTTTTCTTTCAATAAAACTTTATTTGCAAAACAGGTGTAGGACTAGGTTTGGCCTGCAGGCTACAGTTTGCTCACTCCTGTACTAGCTCATTCAAGAGCGTCTTGCCTCTGAGCCTCAAATCAGGAACTTCAAAGATTACTTCTTTTCAGAGCCACAAACTTCAATATGAAAATTGCATGTTTGATTTTCTGCAACACAGGTATAGGTTGACACCTTACACTACGTAACCCTCATACTATAAAGTGTTCCTTTCAAATTTTCTTAATTTCTAAAGCGTATGCCTTATTTTGGAGTTAACCATGTTAAAAGTGTTGCAGCATCCTGGAGTGGCTGGAACTGAAGGGACACATTACAGGAGTAATTTTTCACATAATGCCCTAGGGTTATCCATGGGAAGGTGGTAATGACTGAATTTCCAAATATCGGTGGGAGACAGCACATCAGAGGAGAAGCAAATTGTTCTTGGCACCTGGACTGTTTACCTCCCTGACTGGGAGAATCATTCCACTAGTAATGCTTTTCCAGCAGGCAGGTTGAAACTTCATGGAGGGCTGCAGCAGCTGGTGATTACACTCAGCTGTGAGAAACTAAAAACTTGTTCATCACTGGCTTAAACAATTATGGGCTTATTTTTCTTTAAACAATTAGAAGAGTAAAATTATTTCAAGGACTCATATTAGGGCTGAGATTTCTGCCATTTTTTGGCCTTCCCCTCAGCTTCCTACTGCTCAAGTTGCTTCTGCACCAGCCATCAAGTTTACATTCTAAGCTGGAAGAAAGTGTGACTGTCAGGGAGCAAGAATGTGCTTACATTAAGAAGGAAGTTTTTACCATATTTTTACATTGCCAAATCTGTGTCACATACCCTTGCATAAGACATTGCGAAATGTGTCGCTAGGCCTGTTGCATGGGCTCTGCTATAAAGAAAGATGATCCAACCAACCAGTAATTGGTAAGGCACCCAGCAAGGTCTGCTGAAAGTGTAAGAATACATGGAGAGTGCAACTTCCTCTCCACAAGCAACATAGAGACCTATCCATGTTGAAGGACAAGTTTCTTTTCTATCACTTCCTTTCTTTTTCTTTCTTCTCCTTCTCCTCCTTCTTCTTTCACATCTCTAGATGAGGAAATATTTTCAAGCTTAAAGGCAAAGACATCAACCATAGTAAGAAAGCTCTGCAGAATTGATTATATCGAATAGTACTATATGCATGTGTGACATAAACATTCAAAAATTTGTAACTTATATTAAAAGTAAAATGACCTCAGTAATACTCAGATTATTTAGCAAGAAAAAAATCATATTCATGTCCACCAGGCAATATATATTATAATGTTCTTAGAAAAATAACAACAACAACAAAGTAAGCACAATGGAAAAATTGTCATGCAATTAGAGAAAAAATCACAATAAAATTATTCATGCAATTTCATGTAGTTATTATATCATCTGAGGGCTGGGCTTGGTAGCTCACATCTGTAATCCTAGTGCTTTGGGAGGCCAAAGCGAGAAGATTGCTTGAGTTCAAGAGTTGGAGGCCAGCCTGGACAAGACAGTGAGTCTCCTTCTCTACAAAAAAATACAATTTAAAAATTCTTATCGTAACAGCTATTATATTGATAGGCACATAATTAAGATTGAATAAATGCATACAGGTATGTCCCCTACATTGTTTTTTATTCAACGTTTTGTTGCAGAATTTGTAGCCTATGAAACTAGCCATGAAAAACAAATAAAAGGAAGAAAAAAATCCAAGAGAATAAAATGAATACCAACATTTTGTCAGGCAACTAAATAAGTAGAGTTTTTTTTTTTAGGTCAATATTGCAGCTGCTATAACTTTTTAACAGTCATAAATTTGCGTATGTAAACTTACAGTTATCTTTACTCTACCTTTTTCTTTGGTGAAAATTTCTGAACTAAGACAATCTCCGATTTATCAGACATTTAATCTAGATATTCTGTGACTTTTCACTATTCCAGTTTATAATATCATTCCATCAGTCACATTTATAATGAACATGTGTGTTTTGTCTATTCTGTGGCCCTTCAATGTCAGTTCTAAATATGGAGAAATTGTGAGGACAAATTCATATTGGTGATGAGAAAAAAGAATCCCACTTTTTGTCAGCTCTCTACTTGCTTGTATGCCCCTGATTTCTGCTGGTGTCCATTAACAATTGTCACACTTCTAGTTTGCTTCTTTTTCCATATATTTACTACTGTTTCCACACTCAACAGAATAACTCTAAGACCTATGTTGATTCCATTTTACTGAAGGTTTAGTTGAATTTTTTGTCATGGTGACAATGCTCATCACTTCTGCATAATATTACAAGGAATTCTCAGAATTTTGGTGACTGTTCTTTATCTTTACATTCTTTTTTTTCTGGTTCACACATTCACAGTTTTTGTTTGTTTACTTGTTCTGATATTCAGTGAATCACATCCTATGTTTTTTTTGCTATAAATTGCACATGTATTTATTGAGAGCATGTAATACCGCAAAAATGTGTACTCCACCTGCAAGTTGATGTTTTCTTTCTGCATACTGAAGTCTGGGCAGAAAATCATTTTTCTTTAGAAATTTACATGTATTTATTTCAGCCATCTATATTTTACTGGTACTGTTTAATCTAATGGCTGCACAATGTTTGCTGTCTGAAACATTTTGTTGCGCACTGTGAAATTTCATGATGATGATAGGGTTGGGTACTGGTCTCTTTGTAGTGGTTGATTCTGAGAAACACTGGCAGTTCTGGGATATTTTCTTATGTTGCTTCTTTAATATTTTCCTCCATTTCATACTCTGTGTCTCTCCTTTGGCACTCCCCTGAGCTTTAAATTGCATCTCTTGATTGAACCTTTAATTTTAGGTTTTCTTTCATACTATTAAAGCCTTTCTTTGTTCATTTATTCTCCCTCTATTTCCTCAAAGATTGTCTTGTTCCTTATTTCCAAAATTTAATGGAAATTTTAATGTGACCATATTTTATATATTTGTAGCTTCTTTCTTTTTTCTCATTTCATTTTAAATACTTTTGTTTTTGTTTCTTAGTTTCAACATCCCTCATTTCTCTAAAGAAGAGTAGCACTAATATATTTAAGGTTTCATTTAGCTTCTAAGGTTCCCTCTTTTTTTAACCATAATATTTTTTCTTTGGTCTTCATCTGTCTTTCACAACAGAAGCTTTGCCAGATATTGGGGACTCTTTGCTATCCACCTGATATTAAGTAGGACATACTAATGTGACAATGGGACAATTTTTGTTGTTGAGAATTCTCATATTTCAATGTTAGTAGCTCTTGGTTGTGAAACATTTAGCTTTTTCAGAGAGAAACCTTTCTGTATTCTACATGGAAAGCGTAGGGCTGGCCGTGATTGCCCTAAAAATTGAATGGTGGAAGGAAGCTTGAGTCATTACAGTTTAATATTTACATTTTCATTTAATGTGCTTGCTTACTATAAGAATTTATCACCTTGCCAAACATCAATCACTGACATATTGGAAACTCGAACTTGTCCTGTCAAATTATTCTGGAGAGGAAACCGCCCATTTCTTATGTAGGTGGAGAAAAGGTAATTAACTGTCTCTATGGAAAGAGTGGAACTGCAGAATTTAAATCCTCGGGATGTATGTTTTCAGATAGACTCCTTGTTTTTATTTCCACATTTTAACCTTGTGATCAACAGTAAAGGGTCCTGCCAATTTCTCATCTTTTGGGGCATTTCAATATCTAAATTAGCTTTCTGCTCATTTACACCTCCTCTGCAGACACGTATAGAAAGCTACCTATTCTTCATTAAGCCAGTTAAAAGGCTTCCTTCCATTCATTTTCAATATTTTACAGATAAATCATTATAACATTTTATCATCAAATATCTTTTGTTTGCTTGAGAGTGTTTTGTAAAAACTTTAAGACATTTTACAGAAATTTAGATAAATTAGTCAGATATAATGTATTAGTCAGCTTTCAAATGCTGCTAATAAAAACATACCTGAGACTGGGTAATTTATGAAGGAAAGAGATTTAATTGACTCACAGTTCAGCACGGCTGGGGGACCTCAGGAGACTTACAATCATGGCAATAGGAGAAGCAAACACATCCTTCTTCACACGGCAGCAGGAAGGAGAAGTGCCAAGTCAAAGGAGGAAAAGCCCCTTATTAAACCATAAGATCTTGTGAGAACTCACTCACTATTGTGAGAACAGCATGAGAGTAACTGCCCCCGTGATTGAATCATCTCCCACCCAGTCCCTCCCAGGACACGTGAAGGTAATGTGAATCACAATTCAAGATGAGATTTTGGTGGGGACATAGTCAAATAATATCAGATAAATTCATCTGTTAGATCAGCCATGTTTAACTAGATATCTCCCAAATCAATTTAATACATCTTTTGCCTATGAGTAAGAAATGCCATTTTTTAGTATATTACATGGCCATGAAAATTTTGATCTTTAATATAAAATTTGCCTCCATTTCTTTCACCTTCTATTAGTACCATATATTTTAATATCATAATTTTGTCATTTTTAATATATGAAAATGTAGTTTCACTGTAAATAAGTGTTCTTAAACGCTTTTCTAACTCATCTCCTGCATCATTTATTGATTTAAGAAGAAATATTATCTTAGTTCATTAGGACTGCTAGAACAACAATACAAAAAACTACATAGGTTATAAACAACGTAAATTTATTTCTTATTCTTCTGGAAGCTGGGAAGTTCAAGAGCAAGGCACCGGCAGAAGCAATGCCTGGTAAGGACTCACTTTCTCATAGATGGCTCCTTTCACTGTGTCCTCATATGGTAAAATGGGCAAACAAACAAGCTTCCTTGGGCTTCTTTTAAAAGAATCTTACTCCCATGCCTGAGGGCTTCATTCTCAGGGTTCAGGTTAGGATCAGACCTGGGTTACTCAGATTCTACACATTCCTAAAAGACCTGTCTTCAGAACTGTGATCCTTGGACAGCTCCTAAAAGATAACCTTTATACTATTATAATGTATGTTCTATACCAAAGGCCTTGTGCAATGCTATAATTATATTGAACAGCCTGTTCTTTTATGTCTGAGGACTTCATCCATGCTATATGTGTTTGACCAGATAATTCTATGCAAACAGTGTGATTTACAGTGAACAATTGTTTTTCTCTTTGCCTGTGGGAGGTTCTGAAATATGGGTACCTGTGGTAAGTCACACAGGTGCTGCATGCCTATGTGATTGAATAAAAACTCTGTAGACCAAAGCTTGGTTGAGCTTCCCTTGCATGTGTTGCCACACGTTGTTGGTAGGAGAATTAAGTGCATCCCGATATGACTCCACCGGGAGAGGACACTTGTGTCTTTGTCCTTTCTGTTGTTACAACAAAATCCCTTAGATTGGGTAATTTATAAACAACAAAAATGTATTGCTCACAGTTATAGAGGTTAGGAAGTTCAACATCCATGTGCCAGAAAATTTAGTGTTTCATGCAGTCCCATTTCTCATAGATGATTCCCTAGTCTATGTATCCTCACATGGTGGGAAAAATAAACAAAGAAGTTCTCTACAGCCTTTTTAATAAGGACATGAATCTGATTCATGAGGGCAGAGCCCTATAACCTAATTATCTCCCAAAGATCCCACTGCTTAACATTGTCTTGGTAGTTAGGTTTTAATATACAAATTTTGGGGGGGCACAAACATTCGGACTGTAAAAACCTAGACCCTTGTACCTGGTTTCTCCTTGACTTTACCCTATAAATCTTTTCCCTTTGCAGATTTTAATCTGAATCCTTTCACTGCAACAAACTTCATTGAGTATAATTTTTTGTTCTGAGTTCTTTGAGTCCTTCCAGTGAATTATTGAATCTAATTGTGGTTTGGGAACCACCAATACACACAAACACATACACACAGTGATATATATATATAGTTATATATATATTAGGTTGGTGGAAAGGTAATTGCGGTTTTTGCTATTAAAAGTAATGGCAAATCCTGCAATTACGTTTGCACCAATCCAATACTTACATGCAGCAATATATAATCATATACATTTTTATACACACATGTATAGTTGCATCAATTCTTATGTCAGAAATGTGTATCATTTGTCAATTTTTCTCAGTCTTTGGAATATATTTTCGTCTTAAAATAATACGAGCTAGTCTGAGTGCAGTCGTGTTTACAACTAATTGATCACAACCAGTTACATATTTATTTGTTCTTTTTCTATTCCCACTGTTTCATTCTACTAGCCTTTGAAAAAATAATAAAGATAAGTCAATAAATAAAAATGAAATGATATGGCTTGATAAGAATCTCTAATTTTAATAGAGTAAAATATATAAATGTTGTTTATTATTAGTTTACCTGTGTTTTTGACAAATATTCTTTACCAATTTAAGATATTGAAGATATTGATTATGGAATCTTCTAAAACCTATAAATTTTACTTTTTAGTTTAGGCGTATTATACATATGAAACAAATTTTTTGCCTGATGAGAGAAAGAGGTTAGGCAAAACTTTTGTTTTTGTTTGTTCATCCAATCGCTCCAGCAACATTTGTTGAAGATACATTTTTTTCTCCTTTGCTTGGATTGATGCCTTTATTGAAAAATAATTGATGATATCTGTGTGTTTCTATTTCTGGATTACTCATTCTTCTTGATTGATCAACTTATTTATTATATATCAATACCAAACCATTTTGATGAATATAACTTTGTAGCAAGCCTGGTAAGCAAGTGATGTATATGCTCAAATTTTTTATTTGATTTTGCTTTAAAAAATTATTAAAGCCCTTCTAGATTACTTAGATTTTCTTATACATTCTACTATGCATTATTTGAATATTTGTATTTTTTATCAACGTTTTATCATTTTTATAGTATATATTTTGTTGATGTTTTACCAAATTTATATGTAAGCATTTTATTCCTTAATGCTATCAGAGATTTTTTCTGCTCCTAATATGTGTATATAAATATTTTTGTTTTTGAGATGGAATCTTGCTCTGTTACCCAGGCAGGAGTGCAGTGGCACGTTCTTGGCTCACTGCAACCTCCACCCCTGGGCTCAAGTGATTCTCCTGCCTCAGCCTCCTGAGTAGCTGGGATTACAGGCGCATGCCACCATGCACAGCTAATTTTTGTATTTTTTTTTTTTTTTTTTTTTTTTAGTAGAGACAGGATTTCCCCATATTGGTCAGGCTGGTATCGAACTCCTGACCTCAGGTGATCTACCCGTCTCGGCCTCCCAAAGTGCTGGGATTACAGGCATGAGCCACTGCACCCGGCCAATATATATTTTTTAAATTAAACTTTTATTTTGTAATAATTGTAAATCCATTGCAGTTGTGATAAATAATATACAGAGATCTTAAATATACTTTACCAGTTATCCTAATAGTAACATCTTGAAAACTATAGTACAATATTTAGAATATAGCACATAATTAGGATATTGGCTTGATACAATCAAGATACAGAGCATTTCCATCACAAGAATGGTCCTCATGCTGCTCTTTTTCAAGTGTTTGGATATTTTAATTTTAGCTTTTTTATTGATTTCTAGTTTAGTTCCATTGTGGTTAGACAATACACTTTGCATAATTCCAATACTTCTAAATCTGTTAAGTTTTGTTTTATAGCCCAAGATATTGCTTATCTTGGCATACAGTGGTTGGCACTTGAAAAAAATATTTATGCTGTTGTTGCCTGGGGTGTTTGATAAATGTCTATTGGATCCTGTTTGTTGGTGAAGTCATGGAGTTCTAAATTATTTCTGATTTTTATTTAGTTGCTCCATTATTTGTTTAGAGAGGAAGATATTTAAGCCTCCAACTGTAATTGTGAGTTTGTTTTTATTTCTGTCAGTTCTATAGGCTTGGAATAAAATATTTTACAGCTTTCTTGCTTATTGCATATACATTTAGGTCATCTTGGTGGATTGACCTATTTATCATTATTTAATGTTCCTTTATGTCTCTCTATATATACATATGGACATATATTGATGGTTGCTCTAGATATCGATGGTTGCTCTAGATAAAGATATATTGATAATTGCTGTAGATATATATATATGTATATATGCACACACACATATATAATCAGATAAAGTAGACTTCATATATATATATAGCCACACTTTTTTCCTTTAACATTTATATAATGTCTTTTTGATAGTTTTACTTCCATCCTTCTGCTTATATCATATTTGAAGTGAGTTTTCTGTAGGCAGCATATAGTTGAGTCATAGTTTTTCTTTGTCAGACTCTGTCTTTTGTTTGCTTCATTTTCCATTTACACAGTGTAATTATTAATGTTAGAACTTATATCTGCCTTTTTGTTTTGTCATTCTCTTTAAAAAATTTCTGTTTCCTTTTTCTTTATACTGGCTACACGGATTATTACTAGGGAATTTATTTAATCTATGTAATCTATTAACCCAAAATACATAAATAATGCTTATAAAATGGATTATTTGGACTTACAGAACATTTTATACAAGGATATCTCAATAATATTATAAAAATATCTTACCGACATAGCATAGATAGGCACAAATCTTGTTAGTTTTCTATTTTAGATAGCTATTCAATTAATTATTGTATTCTAAAAGGATAATAGTTGATATTTGCATAATTTGCATGCTTTTCTTCATCAGCTCTGCAAATACTATACATTTTTATTCCTTTATGTCAACTTTAAGTAAAATATAACAACATAAGAAAATAAGTAGAAATATGACCTCCCAAACATCTCAAAGTGACTCAGAATCTAGACATAAGACAGGAATCCTGTCTCCTAGACTAGTCAATACCACACCGCATTGTACTCAGAGGAATTATATAATGTTGTTTGGCAAAAAACACATTTAAAACTTAGCTCTTAAATTATTTCAATAACTTTTTAAACAAATTAAACATTTAACAAACTTTGAATTAGAGTGTTTTAAAATCTCATTTGCAATCATGAGTTCTTCCATATATTTTTTTAAAGAACACGTTGATAAATTATTAAAGGGAAAAACAGATTGAAGTTAGTAAAATCTTTGTTGTTGCTATTGCTGTTCTAAGTAATTGAAATGAATCTCTTCTTTAATTCCTCATTTCATGCTCTTCTTTAATGCTCATTTCAGCATTTGTCATTTGGAATAATTAAATTTCTAACATGGGAAATATATGCAATAGGTGAAAGGTAAATTATTTATTTTATATTATGTTTTCTACAACTGGATACATTTTCCATCAGAAAAGAAGAAGATAAAGATGAAGACGAAGAAGACGAAGAAGAGGAGGAAGAAGAAGAAGAAGAAGAAGAACAAGAAGAAGAAGAAGAAGAAGAAGAAGAAGCAAAACCACCATTCAAAATCTCTTTTAAGTCAGGCAATAATTGTTTTCCCTGTTCCTTCCAGGAAGTAAAGGAAAAATTGCAAACTCCATATTTGCTCAATGATCAGGCTTATATATAGCTTTTTTATTCCTTTCTAAATATTTAAATGGAATTTTCTATGAGTTGTTTATTGTATTGAAATAAACTATTTGAACATTAATTTTATTTCTATTCTTTTTACATTCTCAGTTGTGCAGTGCACAGAGGGATCCCTTGGACTTTGCGGCCTATTCAACAAGGCAAGTCTGATTTATGGTACTATGTGATATGAAATCAGTGTGTGTACTCACAATAAAAGTGTGTACACATTCAAAGTGTGTATATGTGTGTGCTTGTTGTGCATATGTATGTGTTGAGTGCTCCTTACTATAACTACATTTTTAAAAATAATTTTAAAAAGCATGTGTCTGTATGAGATTCATTTTCTTTGATTTATCTAAAAAACATGTCCCAATTTTCTCACCAGACTTATAAGAGAAGCTTAGTTACATTGGGTTTGTCTGGATGATAAGAACTTAAATAATTGACAAAGTGGTTATGAGGTTTTCAACTAAAGGCTCAATACCTAAGACCTACATTTTCCATAATCAAAGATCAAATCATTTGAAATTCATATACATGAATTATCAGTATCTACCCAGAGAGTAGGTCTTACTTCTGCTACTAATCCCTTGATAGCTATGGCTGACAGATTACAGAAGTCAAAGATTTTAAGTGTAAATTAATAAATAACAACACTCAGAGATTTTGAAGTATCCTCTTAAGACTAGCATCTTTAGCATCACCTGGAGATGTGTTAAAATGCAAATTCTCAGGCCCCACACAATACCAGATAAATCCGAAGATCTGGTAATAAGCCCTAGGAGTTTCTTTTAATAAGTATTACAGATGATTCTGATGCACACATATGTTTTCCAATCACTACTGTGTTTGATAAATAGATTAGCTATTTCCTGGTAATAAAACAAAATGTTAGTTTAGATGATCATAAAATAGTTTTTTTTGGTAAACACCTCACTTAGCAAATTATATAAAATTTTCAATTACCAATAGTTCATCATATTTATAACATACAGTATTACTAAATTGTACTTGAATTCTAGATCATTTTCATTTTCTCAACTACACCTAGTTCAAGCCTTTGCCAGTGCTCCTGGCTTTTTCTTTTGTTTTAATTTTCCTCTATTGCTTATTACTGTAAACTTCTTCCCACACCAAGTTTACATATTTTTACCATTCTATATACTGCTATAGTCTTCAAATCTTCATAGATACTTCAGAACAAGTTATCTTTTCAGTTGTCAGTTTTCAAGACTTTTGGTCTTATCTTTCCTGCCCTCTCCTCTCAAGTTGGATTACATTGCTTTTTAAGAAGAGACAGGTGCTCAAAGCATGCCTGCCTGAGGCTGCTGTCATTTCCTTCACCAGTAAAATGATACCATCCAAAGTTTTAAACAGCTCAAGACTTTATTTCCTCTTTTTTGTACATTTTCAATCAAATAAATATATTTAGAAGCTTAAAAATATTTCTCTAGGAAAGTTTTAAACAGCTGAAGAAAAGACTGGATCTGGAATCAGAGACTTGTTTCAAATTCTAACTTGGGCGATGATTAATTATATTGCCTTAGGAAAGTCAATTAACATTTCTGGGACTCCGTTTCTTTATATGTAAAATGGAATAATCTTTTCTGACTTTCATGTTTGTGTGAGGTTTAAGATAAATTGAGATGAAGCATCCAACTCTAGATATCAGACATGGCTCTCGACAGAAATCAAGACATGGTCACTGTGTGCATACAGCTTTCGGAGAAAAACTGCAAAATTAATAGAAGAGTCCCTTAGGCTATATGCTATCATAGATAAGCATTTCTTTTCACACTGATTATCAAATGATACGCTATTTTTCCGTGAACACTTTTAGTTAAAATAATATTCTAAAGATAGCTTGGTATACAGATGTGTGAGGAAAAAATGAAAATCCCTTTACAATATAAATTATTGCAATATTTGCCCACATAACTTACACACAAATTGTCAAATATAAAGTTGTGAATTTGGCTCATCATAATAAAGACACATTGCGTATTTACCCTAAGAGATGTATGCTATTTCTTTTTAATTTCAAAATGAAACTACTAATAGCATTTTTGCACTAGTTTTACAGATAAGAAAATGGAATCACAAAGATGTTAAGCAGTTTTTTCAAGGACACAATTAACAATGGTCAGCCAGGATTGGAATGCTAGTAGCTGGTCTCTGACATGTCTCCTTAAAGCAAGGTACTCGGCTACATCTCTAATAGAAATGTACCACATTAATCAATTTAGCTATAAATGCTGTCTCTGTTGTGATTTATAAATATAGGAACAATGGGACCTTTGGTATACTACCTTCTTATAATATCATAGACAGAAACTGTGCTAAATGTTAAACAAACACACACACCCGGTAGAATCCATCAGACACAGGACAAGATTAAGGCAATTTGAGATGAGAGGGAACGTCTTTATTTCTTGAGTATTTTCATACCAATTTGTGAGCAGTGATTCCTGAATTAGAGTACCTGTGTTTTGTAGTAAATATCAGTCAGTTACAAAACTAGTAGCCACTAAGCAGTTCCAGACTTTGGTGTTCTTGGTTTGTTTTGGGAATGGATATTGAAGGTCATGGCCAATCCTGATATCCAGACTTTTTAAAAATAGCCTTATTGAAATATAATGTATACACTTTGGTTCAACTCTGAAAAAATAATAGACGTCAGAGAAAAAGGCCCAGGTTTTCTCTAGACTTTTGGCTTAAGGGACTGAAGAAAAGAAGATGTGCTGATTTTCCTCCAAACTGTCTAATCCATTTTCTCAAGAAAGGAAAATAGACAAAGAAATGGGACTACTGCCTTGTCAGGATCTATAAATGGACTATTTGGCTGCAGTTTCTTATTTTAAAGTCTCTTAGGAATCTGCTAACAGAGAGCAGGACATTGATAAACTTGAATAAAAAGTAACCCAATGACATTTTTTTCAAATTTACTTTCTGCCTTAAGTTTTGCTTTCCTTACGGTATATCAACTCTGACATCAGTGTCTTTTCTTATGAACATATCTCTGCATTAGCACTTCAAGGTCTGTGGCAGAGTATAGCTTCATGTTAATTTATGGGTCTGAGCACTCTTTGGAAATTGCTATCATTTCCAAACCTGTTTAAAATGCCTGTGTGACATTTTCCATGAGAAGACTGACACTGGAATCAGCCTGATTGATTGGGGGGAGAGAATAGATGTGGTATCACATTCCAAGCTGGTTTAGAAAAGGGAACAGACAATTTAAAATAGCGTAGTAGAAAGACTGGAAGTCCAAGAGCTGAGTCCCACTTTCATATCTGCTATTTTACCTGTATGGCTGCAGTCAGTTCAATATCTTTACATGCAATAACACCTAAGAAATACAAATACAAGTAATAACAATAGGTATACAACAATAAACAGCCACTCTCCCTGGAAAATAATTTATTAAATCTTAAAGAGAAGGTAAGCTAAACATTGGTAAATACTTATACTTTCCATTTATTTCTATTTCTCACCAAGTCTTCCTTATTCACTGATTCTTCAGTAGTACCTATCTTCATACCCTTCAAGATAATGTTGACATGTTCTAAATAAAGGTTTGCCATTTTGCAGTTTTTTTTGCAGTTTCTGAGCATTAACATTTGCCTCCTGGAACATCGTGTAAGAAGATATGCTCGCATCTTTCTCTATGTCCTCAGGGTCCTTGTATTTGAGCAGCCTTATAAGATTTACAACAAGGTCCTTTGGCATAACAGGACTTGGCTGTGATTCAAGATGGATTTGCCTTACAACAAAATAGCTTCTGGAGTGTCAGAAGAGGATTTCAAAGCATTTTTAGAGGCATTTATTTATTTGTTATCATGGCTTCAGTTTTATAGACCTAGAAATTATACTTTATAATATTTTCTGGAGGTTAAATATTTTTTCCACGTATTTTCATTTGTGTGACAAGACCCCTGTCCTCCTTCACATTTCTAATATTCATGGTAATTAATGTTACAATCTGAACTATTTTTCACAAACTTTGAGTCACTGGTTCTGTTTGGTTATACTTCTAATTAATAGATGACCTATGAGATTCTTCAATCCTCTGCTACCAAGTGGGTATCCAACAATTCAATTCAATTCTGACATTAAATACACCATAAGCTTTATGGCTCTGTCCTTCAAGACTGCCTACACTTCAGATATCAGTTGCAATGGGATGCCAATGCTACCCACATTTCTGCCAGGCTGGCAGACACACACACACACACACACACACACACACACACACACACACACAAATTTAGGGGTTCCCATGATTTCTCCCTCAAGTTTGATATTTCACTAGAACAGCCCACAGAACTCAGGGAAACACTTTATGTGTGTTTGCTGGTTTATTATGAAGAATGTTTTATAGGATAACAGGATACATCCTTTATAATACTTTGAAAAGAGCTCACTATAAATAATAAAAAAATTCTTATTATACCAAGTAACTCTAATTTGATATTACTTATCTATTTTCATAGAAGAATTCCCAATTACATATATAAACACTTTAAAGTCAACTCCAGGGCACGTACTGATTTTGGGGGCATTTTCCTTCTCTGTGATTTCATTTATCTATTTATCTAATAGTAACTGTCATTTCTTTTGGCTTATTTAAAGCTCAAAAATCTGATTAATTCAAGGTGCAGTATCAAGCACTTTATCAAGAAGATAAGAAAAACAAAGACATTGAAAGATACTAATTTTCTAGTCTTTCTTTCCCTCTCACTCTGGCTCTCCTGTCTTTGCACTATACCATCCCCCACTTGTATTGCTCAGGTTGTGTTCTTTTTGTGAACAATATTATTCTGGTCCACTGGTCTTAGGTTTGGGTAAAAAAATATTTATCCAGCTGAAATAAGCACTGGAACCAAAGAAGACATCTCACCCCACTGTGATAAAACAAATAGAAAATGAAAATGACTTTAAAGAAGTTTCGGGATTAACTTTAAGTAACAAGAACAGAGAAAACCAAGAGTCAGCAAACTCCTTTATATTCAAAATACTCCTAACACTTTTTTAAAAAAGCTTTCTGATTTCTAAACCCTTCTGCAGTTGGAGGTTTTTCAGTCCCTGTAACTTTTTACACATGAGAAAGTGGGTCAAGGTCTCTCTGGCACCATAATGCCCTTTTAAGATAATTATATCTCCTCGTCTTTTTTCACCAGCTTCATAATCAAATATACTCCTCCTAGTCATACTCCTGAACTTATTGACAGTTTAATAAATTGAATAATGAATTACATTCCTTTTGACCCAACACTTGTTATCTTTCTAAGTGGCTTCACATTTCTGTGGATGTCACAACCAACATCTGAGGTTTGTTCCTAATTTTTTTCATCTTAGTAACTTTTTCCTCCATGTTAGCTTTGACCATTTCTGGTCAAAAATTCAGAAATTTTACCATCTCTGAAATCACTATTTCAAACATCCCAAAATCCACCTACATAGTCCTCAACATATGGTTAACTTGCTCATGCACTATTATTGAAACATTTTTCCCAACTCATCAATGTTTCAAACTGCAATAGGCCTCCTTTTTCTCTGACAGCCTCTTCCTATCTTAAATCTCCTGCTTATCCACTTTAGCATACTCAGCCTTCCATTTCTCTGCAAATGTCAAGAATGTCTTTGGTTCTTTCTGTTTCCATGTCTTTTCGCTGGCTGCTTCTCCTCTAGCAGCCCTTAGTATTCCATTTACTCTTCCCTCTCTCCTTTCCACCAGAATGACATACAATCTATTTGCCGATATTTTAAATCTCTCTCTAGAATCGTTCTTCTCATCTTCAGTGCTATTTATCCATCTATCTACTTGGTATTACCACAATAGTATATATACCCATCTAAAAATTATAGTATTAATTCTTGTAGAATCTATACGTGTATAGAATCTCATAAGTTCTTGAGTTTAATGCTATTCTATTCCTATCAAATTAACTTTAGTAAAATTAGTATAAACCAATTGGTTCCATTTGTAGGTAACTACAATAAACCTTCGTTTTGGTATCCTAATGTCATCAAAAAGAGAATGCTCTGGCCAAAAAAAAAAAAAAGGGAGCAAATCAAAACAAAATGAAACCCACTGTAAACAAAATCAATTGGCAAATGACAAGCACTTGGGTAATTGGCAGAACCTAAACTAGTAAATCACTTTGAAGGATGGTCTGTCAGTATACAGTAAGTTACACATGCATTTACATTTGACCCACCAAGTGCATTTCTAAATATATACCTTGACAGTTTGCCTCCAATATTATGAAAATATATATTGACATGTTTATTTACAAAAAAAATCCTTCAAATTATAAAATATTGAAATTTCTTTAAATTATACTTTAAGTTCTAGGGTACATGTGCACAACGTGCAGGTTTGTTGCATATGTATACATGTGCCATGTTGGTGTGCTGCACCCATTAACTCATCATTTACATTAGGTATATCTCCTAATTCTATTCCTCCCTGCTCCCCCCACCCCACGACAGGCCCTGGTGTGTGATGCTACCCATCCTGTGACCATGTGTTCTCATTGTTCAATTCCCACCTATGAGTGAGAACATGCAGTGTTTGGTTTTCTGTCCTTGCGACAGTTTGCTCAGAATGGTGGTTTCCAGCTTCATCCATGTCCCTACAAAGGACATGAACTCATCCTTTTTTATGGCTGCATAGTATTCCATGGGGTATATGTGCCACATTTTCTTAATCTAGTCTATCATTGATGGACCTTTGGGTTGGTTCCAAGTCTTTGCTATCTTGAAAATTCCCACATGCATAAATAATGAAACAAAAAGTTTCTATAAATGATGATCATCTACTCATTGGAATACTATGCATCTGGAAATAAGAATTAGAAATATTTTTATGAAGTAATAGGGTATGATTCCAGAATATATTGTAAGTTAAAAAAAAAGTTCAAAATAGTATTTATAGCATGCTACCTTTCATGTAAGAAATGAGGAAATTATATACACATATGCATAAACACACACACACGTGTGTGTGTGTGTGTGTGTGTGTGTGTGTGTGTGTGTATCATGCCTGTAATCCCAGCACTTCGGGATGCCAAAGCAGGAGGATCACTTGAGTTCAAGACCAGCCTGGGAAACATAGCAAGACCCCTTCTGTATATACAGAAAAAATAAAAAATAGAAGCCGTGTATAGTGGTGCTTGCCCATTGTCCTAGCTCCTAGGGAGGCCAAGGGAGGAGGATCACTTGAGCCCAGGAAGTTGAGGCTGCACCGAGCCATGATCATACCACTGTGCTCTAGCCTGGACACCAGAGTGAGACCCTATCTTAAAGAAGAAGAAGAAGAAGAAGAGTAAGAAGAAGAAGAACAAGAACAAGAAGAAGAACAAGAACGAGAACAAGAACAAGAACAAGAAGAAGAACAAGAACAAGAAGCAGCAGGAGCAGCAGCAGCGGGAGCAATATGAGGCAATAACCAATTGTCTCATATGCTTTTAATCCCTTCAGTTTATCTGCATATACTTCTGTGATGGGCTAGAAATGCAGATGTTGGTGAGTGAGTTGGGGAGTAGCAAAGCAGTTGGGAGGCATAGGAAGGCCACCATTCATTTTTAAATTCCTCTCCCGAAGATTCAGTTACACAGTCAGAGAACACCCCCAATCTACAGCGTGATTCAGGGCAGGCTGTGGTGAAAAGAAGGGGACAAAGTATGCTCCCTGAGAATAATGCCCACTGAAACAGCATCATCCCTCTTCACTCAGTTTTGTAAATTTCATTCTTTCATTTCATATATTTTTGGCCCAAATTGGCTTTTCATGAATTCACTCCTGAGTGAACAAAAAAGAAAAAATATTGATGTTAATTTCATAAGAGGTTATGCAGTCCCTGTTATTTGAGTCATCAAAAGCACCACCTCAACAAAGATGTTAGCAACAACATCAAAAACATCACCCCAGCAAAGATGTTAGGAACATCAAAAGCATCACTTCAACAAAAATGTTAGGAAGATGCTCTTCTTACAACTGAGGTAGGTGACTTGGTAGAAGAAGTTGGTGATCATGAGATAATTTTCATTTGGAATTGCTTGGTGGTTTGATTTTTATCAATGATCCATAGTTATAGGTTTTCAGTAGAAACATTGTTATTTCTTGCAAGTTTCAAGTATTTTTTTCTCTCTCCCTCTTTTTCAAGACTGAGCAATGAAAATTAAATAGTTACATTAATTTATCATATTGACAAAGTAAGGTTTAGAAATCTGAACTCTAAAATCTAAACTGTTTAGAGATTAAAAAATAGAATTGGAAGAATCAATAAGCTGAAAAATGTCCAAGTGATATGAGACCTAACAATAATGCCAAGAGTAATTGAGTAGAAAATCTAGAAAGATAAGAAATTGTTATGACATAAAAAAACAAGACGAAGTTTGTGGCTTTAGGTGTGAAGCGAATTAGGGATGTCAAAGCTGTAGGAATGGAAGGCAGAAGTGAGTCAGAAAGTCATGATGAATAAACCAAGTCACTCGAGGCTATTGTATTTATTAAGGAAGGAAGAAACATCCATACTGATAATGGAATTTATGCAAGATGGTAACAGCATGTGAAATAAAAATGAAACACTACAAATCATATGCAAAGACCTTAAGGAATACTATAGAATGACAAGGAGTTAGCAGATTAAAAACATAAAAAGATAAAATGAAAAGATGGCTAAAGCACTGCCACTGGTTCCAAAAAATGAAATGTTTATCTGCAGGCCTAGAGATGATCAGATAAAGCAAAAGACGAATTAGTGTGGAATATAAAGTATCAATAATAAATAATAAATAAATAATAAGATACATATCCTTGTCACACTATTTGAACATATAGTTGGGGTTTATATGATACAGATTATACGGACTTTTTTTTTTTTTTTTTTTTTGAGATGGAGTCTTGCTCTGTTGCCTAGGCTGGAGTTCACTGGTGTGATCTTGGCTCACTGCAGCCTCCACCTCCCGGGTTCCAGCGATTCTACCGCCTTAGCCTCCCAGGTAGCTGGGATTACAGACATGCACCACCATGCCCAGCTAATTTTTGTATTTTTAGTAGAGATGGGGTTTCACCATGTTGGCCAGGCTGGTCTCAAACTTTTGACCTCAGGTGATCCGCCCACCTTGGCCTCCCAAAGTGCTAGGATTACAGGCGTGAGCCACCATGACCATCCTGTAATACAGGTTCTTGATGTTTGATTTATTCGTATCTTGTAAGCATCGGAGCTGCATTTTCTTATTTTTTAAAAGTGGAAGGCCAACTATTTGTTACCTAATATGTCACTTGAGTGACATATTTTGTACTGACTTCTGGAATTTTTTTCCCACTAATTTTGCTGCAGCCACTTAGGTTAACTGACCAAGCCAGCAGTCTCTGCCAGCACATCACCTAGTCTCTGCTGGATGCGTCTCCTCTCCTATAGTGGGAATTCTTTGTTGAAGCTAAAGAATAAGAAGCTATGGCACTTGCTCAAGACCTCATGCTTGTGAATGCAAAGTGGAAGTTAAAAGAGGAGGTAGTTAAAGTTAAGAGCTCTCTCCCTAAATCTCCTGATCCCTAGTGATTAATGTCCTAAATTGGTTCATGAGGACATTCAAAAACAGTTCCAGGAAATTAATTAGTTGCATTTGACACCAAGAGGTGACTAGCTAAGTAACACATTCCTGCATGTCTAGACCCTTGTTCCCTTGCTCATTGTCCTTGGCATTGTACTACCTGTTAAAGTGCTAGTACATGACAATTTGCCTCTCTGGAGGGCTTAGGTTGAGAAATTTCCATTCTCAAGTATTTGTGAATATACGATTCATTTCTACGTCCTGCCTTAACATTGTAAGACCTTACGAAATTAAGTGATCTCACTTGAAACCCAGCTTTTCTGTAGAAAGCATCATTATACCTTCCTATATGCTTAGCCATCTCCTTTTTTAAAAAAGTCAATCACCTCTATCTAGTTAAAGACATACTTTCATCAACAACATCAGACTTTTCTTACTAGAAAACAACTTTTTTTCATTAAGAATAACTTAAAACACTGAAGTGTCAGTTTCAAAAGATGAGTTCAATTTGTTTAAAACCAAGATGACAATCTCCATGAACCCTTAAGGTAACAGAGTTCCTCTGAGGATTCCTAATTCCTGTTCTCAGTTATTATGGTTAAAATCCTCTGAGGCATTTTGTTTCCCCTGAAATCCATGCTTTCCATACTTGATCAGTAATCAAAATTCTTCAAAGTTGTTTCCTAACAACATCTCTTGTATTGACACATTCATTAATATGCACAAAATATAATAAAACACCAGTTTACTTTGAAAGAAGGTAAACAAAGACAATATTGCTGCAGAGGGGCAGAGAGTGAGTAGATAATGATTAGTTAGGTTGAACAAAAGAATTAATGAGGGACACGAGGCTACAGCTTAGTCTTAATGTAGGAAAACAGCTAAATAGAGGATAACAAAAGAGAATAATAATTTTAAAAATGTAATTTAATACATCATAAAGATTATGACATTCAGTTCTATGATTAAGCTTAATAAAAATGCAGTTTAATATGTGGTTCAAATTTAGATATAAATGAATCTATATATTATAAACATATTTTTAACAATAATTTACTGATTGTACATCATTTAAGGACAAGTAAGTAGTAGCTAGCTAACAAGATACACAGGAATATAATTAATATATATTTTTACAAACATATACATATTTCTCTATATACACATAGTTATAGATTGAATGTTTTTGTTCCCTAAAATTCATATGTTGAAACCTTAACTTTCAGTGGCTGTATTTGGAATTGGGGACTTTAAGAAGTAATTCAGGTTAAATGAGGTTATGTGGGTGGGTCCCCATCATGTATGATAAATGTCCCTATAAGAAGAGGCACCAGCTTCATCCATGTTCCTGCAAAGGACATAAACTCATTCTTTTTTATGGTTGCATAGTATTCCATGGTGTATGTGTGACACATTTTCTTTATCCACTCTATCACTGATGGGCATTTGGGTTGGTTCCATTAGGACTCATATCTAATGCAAGTGGGACTTAAAGCATAGATGACAGGTTGACAGGTGCAGCAAACCACCATGGCACATGTATACCTATGTAACAAACCTGCAGGTTCTGCACATGTATCCCAGAACTTAAAGAAAATTTTTAAAAAAAAAGTCACCCGGCCAGGCGCAGTGGCTCATGCCTGTAATCCCAGCACTTTGGGAGGCCAAGGCGGGCGGATCATGAGGTCAGGAGATCGAGACCATCTTGGCTAACACGGTGAAACCCCGTCTCTACTAAAAATACAAAAAAATTAGCCAGGCGTGGTGGCTGGCGCCTGTAGTCCCAGCTACTCCGGAGGCTGAAGCAGGAGAATGGCGTGAACCCGGGAGGCGGAGCTTGCAGTGAGCTGAGATCGCGCCACTGCACTCCAGTCTGGGCGACAGAGCGAGACTCCGTCTCAAAAAAAAAAATAAATAAATAATAAATAAATAAATAAATAAATAAATAAATAAATAATTTTTTAAAAAGTCACCAAAGAGTTTGTGCACTCCCTCTCTTTTTCTCCTTTCTTTTTGTATCTCTCTTTCTCAGCACACAAAGAGATCATGTGAGTATACAGTGAATGATGACTACATACAAACCAATAGAAGAGGTCTCATAATAAAACCTACCTTGCCAGTACCTTGGTCTTGGCCTTTGCAGTTTCCAGAACGGTGGGGAAATAAATGTATGTTACATAAGCCATTCAGTCTGTGATAGTTTATTATGGCAGTCTGAGCTGATTAATATAGATATTAATATATATCTTTATCCATATCTATATCTATGTGTATATATATGTATATGTATTTCATGAAATACATATTACAGGTAATTTTACACTAAGGCTTTATTTGACCTTGGAAATATATATTAATTACTTTTCCAAGAGAGTTATTGCATGTAACAAAGAGAAACAACTAATGTGTTTTCTTTTTTTAATTTTTTTTTAATTCCAAGCCAGTTGATTTTTGTGCTTTAAGTGATTTTATTGTTGTGTGGTTGTAGGCTTCCCAAGAAGTTACAGTTCATTAAAAGGATTTTATATTTTGAATTTCAATTAGAGGAGTTGTTTATTCGGTATAGGAGAATGTCATACTCTTGATCAAGAGAAATAACATATTTTAATATCAATTTACCAATATATCCCATATATGACATGTCTATTATTTATTCTTTTATTGTTTCTTACATAGTTTTTGTCTTTCTAGTTTATGGCCCTGCCTTCAATACTCCACTATAATTTAGATTTCAGTTACTTCATTGAATTCTATTTTCTATTCTCATGACTTTAGGTATAATTTTGTGTTTTCTTAATCATTATTTTTTAGACTTTATTTTAAATTATTATTTTTATAAAATATTAATTTTCCTGCAGCCATTTGTGCTCATTTACAATATTTAAACTGATATGTTATACATGCCATGTATAGATATTTATTTATTTATTAAGAAAGAAAACAATTTTGGTACTGCCTCTGAAACAAAAAGCACAGATGTAGCTGTAATGACAGTGATGGTCTGGTCAATGAATTAAGCACATTATTATAACAGGTGGTGTCTATACCTAGACTCTCGTTGTGATGATAAAGAAAAAAAACTACCTCAAATCTGATATTGGAAGCTCTGTATCAGATTCTATTAATTCATCTGCAATCCTTTGGAAAACACTTACTAGAAAGGCTCAAGGTGTCCTAGACTTGGAGTTCTAGGATGAAACATGTGTTTTGTAAGATAATAAGACAGAGGAATCTCTGAATCTATGTTGTGGCTCTACCAACTGCTAGCATTATGACCCTGAAAATGTCACTTAAGTTCTCTTTGTTCTTAAATTTTTAAGGTGGGTGAGGGGTAATTTTCTTTATCCAAGGATTCTGCTAACTATAGAAAATTTACTTTAAAAGTATTAATAATAATTAACATTTGTAAATGTAAAATTAATTAAACCATAAGATAAGAGTTTCAGCATTTTTAAAAAATTTGGTTTTTGCCCATTTCCCACATGATGAAACCAGAGCTATATTTGTGGTTTGCCTAAGATTGCTGCCATAGTCTGAATGTGTTGCCCAAAATTCATGTGTTGGAAACTTAATCCCCGATACAACAGTGTTGGGAGGTGGAGCCTAATGGGAGATATTTAGCTTATGAAGGCTCCACCTTCATGAATAGACTAATACCACTAAAAAAGGTCTGGCAGGAGTAACTTCTCTCTTCTGCTCTTCTGCCACTAACACAGCTTTGCCACTCTTTGGCTCCTTTTTGCCTCCTCCTTCCTCTCTTGCCTCCTCCTTCCACTATATGAAGATGGAGCAGGAAGGCCCTCAACATGCCAAATGCTGCTGCCTTGATCTTGAATGTCCTAGTCTCCAAAGCTTGAGGAATAAATTTCTGTTCTTTATAAATTACCCTTTCTCAGGTATTTTGTTATAATGGTACAAATAAGACAATTGTTAAATTAGTAAAATCCTATATTATAGACTTAATGCCTGGAACGTCTAAATAGAAAAAAGTCTATTGCCTTCTAAGTAAATTTTCAGGCATGAGAATATATGTAATGAATGGGTGGCATAGATGACATCCTCTTTTGTTTTTACATTTAATTAGAAATTCAGAAGAGGGAGAAAAAGCACTTGGTGTGTTTGGAAAAAGTTTCATAGAGCAGTATGAACTTCAGCTGGACTTATAGAGGTAAGAAAAAGATCAAGGAGAAGAACTGGAGAAAAAAATGCATAAATTTACATAATGCATTTGAGTGACAATGAGATCCTTCTGGCTGAAAAGTATGGTTCATGTAGACAAATAAGCAGATCTAGTTCAGAGACTTACAGGTAGTTCTAATAACAAAGAAGAGTCAAGGATAGGGGGAGTGATGTTCCAAAACAGATGTGTGCAATGATTCTTATTGACAATTTTTTGGTAACATTTTTCCTAATTTTTGGGGAAGCAACCACATGTCCACAACCATTCAGAATCCTATGCCAGTTATGTGCCTGAAATTTTAATTACAAATTACAATTACATGACACTTCTATTGGTTTTGAGTAACAAGAAATATGGTGAGTTATTATTTCTCCCACCTGTATCCCAGATAATTGTATTGAATAGTACACTCAGAAAACATCAATAAAAAATATATTTACCATGCACAACCAACTGTGAAGTAGATAAGACAAAAACAGAAATGTATATATATATATATATATGTATATATATATACACACATACAGAAACGTGTATACATATATATATATATATGATATCTTTTGTTTGATGCCTGCTGTCTACTTCTCATTTCCTTCTGGCTGCTCTGTGTCTGGAAGGCAGGCCCTTACATACTGCATCATGGGTTCCCTTGGCTTATGGTTTCAGTTAGGTCAACATTTTGCACTGACAAGAGATTGAAAGGTTGGAGGAGGAGTGTTCAGGTTGTTAATTCGCTTGGTTACTCCACTGTACAAGATTCAATGAATTGATTGCATCATTCACGCTGGACATCCTTCTCCATGCAATTGCCATCTCTGATTCTAGGTAACTTTTTCCCTGGCCTTTTCTGGTCTATGAGTCTTAAAACCTTCCTGCTGTTGCTAACCCCAGGCAGTGGTGTGAATATGCTGGAGCTGTTGATGGCTCTTACCATCTCCTGAGATCTAGTTGTGGCCATTGCTTCCCAAGTCTGTCTTCATTAAGGCCATGGTGTCATCTTGAAGTCAGCCATGGTGGGAGCATTCACACCATGGAAAATAGCATAGCTACAAATTAGGTTTTTTGGTTTATTTTTGTTATAGATTTTTTTCTAGAAAGCCAGTTATTAAAAATGTCTAAACCCACTACTAGCTCAACTGCTCTGTATTGCCACTTCTCTCCTCCTTTTTAATTCCCTAAAACACAAACACAATTTGTAAAAGGACTTGATTTATTAAACATCCCCCTAAATATTGATTTTAATGTGCTGTCTATTTTTTTTCTGGTTAACCTTAAATAACACTGTAATTGGTATCAGAAATAGTTCCCAGAAACAAACCTTAGAAATAGTATCCTGGGGTTGAATTGTAGACATACTGAGAAACCTATGGATATATTGGTTTTGAGGAATAGTTGGACACTGGAAAGTTGTAGGAGATAGTTGTATAAAGATTTTCAACATATCACTGTTATTAGCATGGGAAGACATGCAATTAAAAAAAACTAGGCTTCAGGAGATAAAGTTTCTTTGGAATTTTATCCTTTTGATGACAATAATGATGATAAACATTTTTATTGTGGTTGGCTACACCTAAGAGCCCTAGAAAGTATACTCAAGTAAAAGAACAAAATAAAGGTTGTGCACACTTAACTCACACAATAAATGGAAAATTAGAAATTCTCAATGACAGTTTTGAAGAGTTCATTACCTCTGCTAGTTACAGAGCAGATATGGCTAAGGAACAATAACCAGAGCTTGCTGTAGGAGTTGCAGATTTGCAGTGTCAATAAAATACTCACTTCACTGGTTGAGAAAGAATGATGCCTTGAGATATAGATGGAAAAAATTGGGAAGACATAAACCCAGCTGAACATTTTGGACTCTCTTCTCCCCTCCAGTACTCCTGAATCTCCCTTGCTGGCAGAGGCATACATTCAAACCCTTTCTGAGAGAACTAGAATTTCCCTTCAAAAACAAAAACAAAAACAAAAAAACTTTTTAAATGTATTTGGGGACTACTTTCTCTGCAAAGGCCATGCTAAATGCCAATCATTATCTTCGGGGCCATAGGAGTTGTCCAACGTACACCAAATGAAAAACATAGTTGACTCCAGGACTCTATATACAGTGAAGTAACAAAAGTTTGTCAGTTTCAATTAACAAGAGTCTGAGAAGCATGTATGAGAGTGTTACTCTGGGGTACTAGACAAAGGAGAATGAAATTTTGAAATGATAAATACCACCCAATATATTTATAAATTGTCCTTACCTGGAACAGGGGATATAATGTTTGGATCTAGCACTAGGATGGATGTTAATAGTCAGCAGCTACTCTGGCTGGTTGAAGCCTGTACTCAAAAGAAAGCTCCAGAAATTGGCAATGCAGTTAAAATATCAGTTCTAGGGGGTATATATAGGAAGGAATCAGAAGCTTCATCTGGATTATAATGTTGGTATTGAAATGTTTTATATTACCTGATCATATAGCCATTGGCCATACCCTAAGCAATGGTCTAAAGGTCATGCCTTTGTTAAGCATTGAGAAAAAAGCTTTGATTATAAGGGCACTAGCATTTTTATAAGCCTACGTGTGACCATCATCAAGCTATTGGCTAGGACTGTGGCAAAAGATGCTGCAATACCCTTGGGTTTCCTAAACCTCAGTGGAAGTATTGGGATTCAAAGTTGCTAGAGGCAAGGTTAGTTCTTGCCCTCCAGAGACAAGGTGGATGCAAATATCCCAATAAATTTCAAGGCAGGAACGGTAATAAAATTTAATATGCAGGGAGCTTCGGTGATGGTTAACATCACAGAAGGTTTCAGTGAATAACAAAACATAGGGTTTCAATGAATAACATAGATTGATAGCCTACTAAGGGATTGCAGGACATATATTAGCAGAAAAATTCTGTGGTTGCAGGACAGAGAGGTAACTCGGGTACCAATCTATTGAGTCAGTGGTCGTCCATTGAGGAGAAATCTGTATCTTTTCAGGGACTCAGCAACACGACACATGTTTCTACCATGAGTCTTTTCCAATGGTTTTGCAGAGGGAATTTCAGATTTTAGCCGATGACAAATCTTCAAGAAAATAAAAATAAGGAAAGCATTCAAGCATTTTGGAGTTTATGGTACCACCTCTGAACCGACAATAATATCTGAACTTTTGCATTTTACCATGGTCTGCACAGAGTGCAGGTTTTTGATGATTGATGAAGTCTTGGTTTGATTCTATCTTGCAGTGGGTCCAATGAGACTACAAATTTATTCTATGTATATATTTTTTCATTCCCAGAATGTATGATGGCAGTAAACAAACTTAATAACTGGCAAAGCTTCCAGTGTCTTTTACATGGGAATCTAATGAAAATTCCTATATTTAGCCACACAATATAATAAAATAATGTTTGTCTTCTTCTTTACCGGTTTGCCTAAGGGCTATGGCAACTTTCTTGTTCCCTGTTATAATTAGTCAAGGGTTGTCTTAATAGCCCTCCTTACATCTTTCTGGTCCTTTGCCCTGTAGACCTTATACCACTTGGACATGGAGAGAAGGATATAACAAGACACATGTGTTAAGGACATAAGTCTTTCACCTGGGTAAAAGGCAAGAACAGACATTCTTGGGAGAATGGGGGAAAAGTGATACTCTCTCCTAGACATCCTTTTGCCTATCTAAATACATTTTCTAACTTTCTCTACACTGCGTTGTGTTCTAGAAAGCTGATGTGTACACACTGCCTCAATGGCTTCTCATCACTGTGATATCTAGTTGTGCATGAATAGAAGGAAGCTGTCAGCAAGAAATTTGAGTGCTGGAGGAATATGCACTTTAGAGATGTACAATCACATATCACTTAACAGCCAGGATATGTTCTGAGAAATGTATTAGGGAATTCCGTTATAGTGTGAACATCAAAGAGAGCACTCACACAAATCTAAATGATATTGCCTACTACACACCTAGGCTATAAGGTATAGGTTATTGCTCCTAGGCTACAAAGTTGCACAGCAGATGACCAAAGTAAATACTGTAGGCAATTGCAACACAATGGTAATCATTTGATATCCAAACATATCTAAACATAGAAAAGGTACAGTAAAAATACAGTATAAAAATTAAAAATGGTATACTTGTATAGGGTACCATGAATAGAGATTGCAGGACTAGAAGCTGCTCTCTGTGAGTCGGTGAGTGAGTGGTGAGTGTATGTGAAGGCCTGGGACATTACCGTGCACTACTGTTGACTTATACTGTACTTAAAATTTATGAAACTTTTTTCTTCAATAATAAGCTAACTTTAGCTTGCTGTAACTCACTTACTCTATAAATATTTTAAAACTTTTTGACTCGTTTGTAATAACATTTAATTTAAAACAAGCACATTGTAAAACTGTCAAAAAGAATTTTCTTTCTATCCCTATCCAACATATTCTTTTCTATTTTTAAATTTTTAAATTTATTTAATTACTTTTTTACTCTTTAAACTTTTTTTGTTAAAAACTAAGACAAACACACATTAGCCTATTCCTACACAGGGTCAAGATCATCAAGAAGTAAGTAGGCTGGGCGCGGTGGCTCACACCTGTAATCCCAGCACTTTGGGAAGCTGAGGAGGGAGGATCACAAGGTCAGGAGATCGAGACCATCCTGGCTAACACAGTGAAACCCCGTCTCTATTAAAAATACAGAAAGTTAGCTGGGAGTGATGGTGGGCGCCTGTAGTCCCAGCTGCTCGGGAGGCTGAGGCAGGAGAATGGCATGAACCCAGGAGGCGGAGCTTGCAGTGAGCCGAGATCACGCCACTGCACTCCAGCCTGGGCGACAGAGTGAGACTCTGCCTCAAAAAAAAAAAAAAAAAAAAAAAGAAGTAAGTAGGTGGTAGAAATTTTTTTGCTTTATTATAATCTTGTGTGACCACCATCGTATATGCAGTAGGTCATTGACTGAGGCATCGTTATGAGCTGCATGACTGCTTTGCTGGATTCCTTAGAAGCGTGGAATTATCACCGACTGCCTTAGACTATTCTCCATCCTCTCAGTTTATTTTCTGCAGATTTACACTATTGAGCTCTTCCTTTCATCCTGCAGGATTAGGAAAGTGAATAGTTTCTTCTGGTTACTAGTTCTGGCAATACGTTATTCCTTGGGTACTCTTAAATACAACCCAAACCTCTATAAAAAGCAACTTTATAAACCTCTCTTCTAATTACCCAGCTTGAATTCCCAGTTTCTTGGTGGAACCATTACTAATACACTGTGTTTCAATTAGCTATAGCTCACACAACTTGCTCAAAATATCATAATTACTTAATTGTTTGTTTCTATGACTCGGGTTTACATTTTAATTTTTTTCCTTTCACTTATAATGTTTATCCATACTATAATACCTTTCTAGAACATAACATCAGAAGTGTGGAATCTTAAACTCAAATATGCTCTTTCTAAATCAATTAAATGTTCATTGTGTTTAGATATATATTTTATTATTAGGCTACAACTATATAATTTTTGACTGAATTAAATAAATTAAAAATAATTTTTATAAATAAATAGAAAAAATACTTTCCACTAGTAACACAAATAAAACATATATCCTATTAGCAATGTGTTGTATTGATACTAATCTTCACATCTCATACCTTCTATGTAGATACTTGTACTTTCCTACTTTAATTAGTATTTATTCTAAATTGTCCACTCTAATGCAAATTTTATATTAATTAGACTTCTTACAGAAGCAAAGAGAAGAAATCAATTTCACTTGAAACAAATTATTTTAATTTAATTGGTTAGTTATTAATGTTTTCCATAATAGTTAATCCAAAAGATACATCTATTCCAGTTTTTTTTTTCCATTGGGAAAACCAATTTCTATACTCTTATTAGTACACATTTTTGAAGAGTAGTATAAATAAAAGTGTTGACTATTCGACACTTTCTTTTTCACTCAATGTTTTTAAGACAAAAAATATGACATTTCTGAACCCTTAAGCTTTGTCATTTGTTGGGGGAATTTATCATTCAATCTGTTATTCGACAATCTCTTTTTCTCCCCATTCCACTTTGTGTTCCTGCTGCAGGAATATTAAATGATCTGTGTTCTTCTGAGTGCACCAATTTGTTCGTATCTCCCTGAACTTTGCCCAAGTTCCTTCAGCCTTAGAATGACATTTTATTACTATCTTTCAAGTTAAATATTTTCTATTTTTAAAACCTTTTTTTGACCCTACCTGCCCACCTCCATCAAAATTAATCCTTTTTTCCTTTTGCTACATGCATACTGAGTGAATACCTCTTAAATTTCATTGACAGTATGAGATTATTCAGAAAATAGGTTCAGCTCTCTGTAGCACAACAGTTAAGTAAGCACACCAAAGGAAAAAGAAGTAAATTATAGAGGCGTATTACATTTTAAAATACCACATTTTGTCAACTCTTACACACTGTTCAATATTTTCACATCTCTGACATTGGAATATATGTTAAAATTGATATTATGTTATTATCTAGTTGGCATAAAATTGTCTCCCTTTGTTGTATATGAGAAATTGGTATGTATTATAATTGGGGGAGGAGCCGCTATTAGAAACTTTCATTATATTTTATGATTTCCTGGCTTGATCTCTGTCTCTCTCTCTCTACCCAATGAGGATGATTTTTATTTTCTAATTTTGTGATAATGTATAAAGGAAGATTTTCTCATTCTATGTTGGTCAGCCCAATAATTCAGTATGTGATCAGTTGCCTTTGCTTTATTTCAAGGTACTTACCAAGCAAAACTCATCCATATAAATGACAGGAAGATTTTACAATATTTAAACATAACTTTCATAATTATGCTAAGCAAACTTTTAATTTTTTGAAATTTCATTTTCTGTAAGCTAGGAATCAATCTATGTGTTCAGAGAAAGTTCTAAGACTTATAGTTATGAGAGGAAGACTATCATTCATTCAATATTCAAAAGCAATTCTAATAGTTTCTAAAAGTATTAAGCTGCTACTGGTAAAACAAACTTGTCCAACCTGTGGCCCATGGGTAGCATGCAGCTGAGGGCATCTTTGAATGCAGCCCAACACAAATTTGTAAACTTTTTAAAACAATATGAGATTTTTGGCAATTTTTTTAATTCATTGGCTATCATTAGCATTAGTGTATTTTATGTGTGGCCCAAGACAAGTCTTTGTCTTCCAATGTGTCCCAGGGAAGTCAAAATTTGGACAACTCTGTTGTAAAACAATGCAACTGGGCTTCTCTATAACCAGAAATCCCCAAATAGTCTTAATGGCTACTTGTAAAGATGTTCTTAAAAATGTTGTAGGTATCAGTTGAAGGAGAAAGATGTGGAAAAGTTGCTATTTCCTGTAAAACTGGATTTTGATGTTCTGCCTTTTCAAATTCTTCAAAATAATCTTATTCATATGTATGTTTTCCTTTGGGTTAATTTTAACTACATTGAACTACATAACTTGAGAATAACATAACAAGAAGACATGTGTTGTTGGAAAAAATATGAGTGAAGACAGACTACAAATTCTTTAGCTGAAATTAAAATTAGTAATTTCATTTATTCAAAATGAAAATAAATGTAACATTAAGTTTTAATAAAAAGAAGAAACAAAGGAAGCACTGAAATTTTTGAGAAGAGGTATGCAGGGAAATAAAAAAGAAAGTTCTAAAAATCAAGGAGCTAATCCTACTTATACTTTTTGGAAAAAAGGCAAGTAAATGCAAACAAAACTTATGTGCACACAGAAAATAAGTTTAGCCTCTAACTATCAAATGCTACTGCCTATAGATTCAGTTTAATATCATCTTTGAAATAAAACTTTGGAGCTAAGACAGATTTTAACTGAAATGGACAGAAAATAAGAAGAAATGTATTCATATGGCGTCTGAACACAAAGAAGTTTACATAGATTTTTCTTAAAACATAAATATTATAGAAGTAATATTTAAGATTGTGAAAAATTAGAAAAAAGAAAGAATACAATAAGTGCATGTGTCTGTATGTGTGTGTGCACTTTTTGTACATGTGTCTGTGTGTTTGCATGCACACATGTACTATATATATATATAACTATACGTGTGTGTATATATATATATATATATACACACACACACACATGGAGAGAGAGAGAAAGAGAGAGAGAGTACATATTCCCTGTGGAAAAAATATACCCACAAACACAGCAAAAATTATTCTTACAAATACACGGCTCATAAAGGAATTATGTAGAATACAAAATAAATTAGAAGTCAAATATCAGATGATAAAAAACCACAATTAGATGAAAGATTAAAATTCAGAGTTAAGAAAAACATTAAGAACTAAAGTAGTATTATTACACAATTGACTAAAAGAGCAATGTCAAGAGAAAAATGTTGACAACCTTAGGATAAATATATGGATATGCTGAAGATGTTTAAGAGAATAACAGAATGCAGGATTATATGAAGAGTGTTTAAATATGTTAGGAATGAGAGTACCAAAATATGAAAACAGCATTTGAAAGCACAAATAACAGTTTTAAAAACCAAAATCATAAAACAGCGTTCATGTTTATAGGCATAAAATATTATAGGAATGAAGGAACAAAGGAAACCACAGAGAGAAGATTATACTATATTTTTGACAAACTTATGCAAAATTATCAACATCAACAGATTTTCCAGTGAGCTACTGACTTTCAAAGATTAAGAACTAATTCTACTAGGGTCCAACAAAGGACAGCAAGTCAAGTAAAACAATAACAACAAAATTAGGCAGATCTCAGCCTTCTCTAAGGTAGTATTCAATCCAGTACACTGGTGAACATTTGCTTCCCAAAAGTTAAAGTCAGTAAAATCACAACATTTTTTATGAGCTAACTTATCTTTCATAGGTAAAGCCCTCAAAACCAAGCCAAAAGTGTGTTTTAAGACAACAAATTAACCGTTCATCCCTAAAGGCTAAGTGAGCAGAGTCAACGTTTCATCTCTCGGTAGATAAAAAGTCTATGTAATGCAACTTATTATCATATTTTTGATTTTTGTGGGATTTCAATAACCTTAACATACCAAGTCATCATGCATCATAATTCAGGACATTTTGTTAAATAATGCTGACCATATGAAGTTTGAAATACACATGACTTCTGAGATAAACAATATGGATAAATCAAATTAAAGTCCTATGAAAGACAAAGTATTAAAGCCCCATATTATAATAAGAGAACCTTAACTGTTAAAAAGGAAAGAAAAAGGCACAGAAAAAGGCACAGATGAATCATCACACACTGGCATGGATTTGGATTTCCCTGGACTATACAGCTAGATATTGTGTTCAACTCTAGAATCAATAAATCACCCACACACCTCTCCCAATTTTCTCTAGTCTTAGGTGGATTTTTTTTTCCTTCTTGGCATTTTGTAAGTTGTTCCAAACACAGGAAATGTTTCAAAGTGTATCAGAATAAATTACAACAATTATGTGGTGTTAATCCAGGGCAAATAAAGCAACAGGAAAACAGTAAATGAAAACCACTCATTTAAAAATGGAGCAGCAAAATTCTGACACCTAGTTTTTATAATAGTGTAATAACTGACTTTGTAATCAATTTTCATAAGAAGTTGAAGATTTTTGTCAGTTTAGAATGACTAAAACATTCAATGTAATTTGATTAATTACATTTGTGATTTCATTTTGATGCTTATTAAAGCAATTTTAAAAATTTTAATTATTTAAATATTTAATGGAAAATTAATTTTTTAAATATTTTCTTTTATTTATGTATTTTAGAGACAAGGAGTCACTCTGTCACCCAGGCTGGAGTACAGTAGAATGATCATAGCTCACTTGAATTCCTGAACTCAAGTGATCCTCCTGCTGCAGCCTTCCAAGTATCTAGGACTACAGGTATCACCACAAAACTCAGCTAATTAAAGAAATATATTTTTTTGGTAGAGATGAGGCCTCCCTGTGTTGTCTAGGCTGATCTCAAACTCCTGTCCTCAAGTTCACTTTCTGCTTCAGCCTCCCAAAGTGCTAGAATTACAAGCATCAGCCACTGCATCTGGTACCAATTTTTATATATTTAAGTTTTGCTTTATTGTTCGTGAAAATTATTTTTAATGGGAAGCCTGATGAAAATGTTTACAATAATTTAGTAATGTTATAAAGAGTAGCAATTTTTAAAATTAAATAGTTCTGTGTATCCCTCTTCATCTATAAAGTTTATTCTGTTATTCAAGAACCTATCAATGCATTTTTAAACACTGAAAATCTAATAATATATTTTACAAATAATACATTATTTACAAACCATGGGAAAACAAGAGGTTGTATGATAATTACTTCCCAGATATGAGTCCCCTTATAAGAATTTAAAATATATGCTTATCTGTTTATTCAACATTGTTTAACAAATGTTGCAAATAATGGTTAAATTAGGGAAAATGATCCAAGTTTTTTTTTTTTTTCATTGCAGGCAAAGAACTAGGGAATATGGTTCACTTAGCCAGATATAGTTCACTTTTTTCTTTATTTACAACCCAGAAATATTTACTTATCACCATTCTATGCTTGTCATTGTTATAGGCTATGGGAATATAAAGATAAATATCACACATATGAATCCTCTTCTCGTGGAGCCTGAAACCCAGAAGAAGAGACAAGCAAGGAAAAAGAAAATCACTTCGATGAAGTAATTGTAATTGTTTTAAAAACCAAGAAGGAAACAAACAAGTTCTAAAATAAATGATAACAGGTAGGACCTATTTCTTGGTAAGGAAAAGTGGAAGACCTCACTAATGAGCTGAGCTTTAAGTGGATTAATGAGGAATAATATTTACCCAGGTATAGAGAGGAGGAAAGTCCAACATGGGACCTGGTCTGATTGAATATCATTCCATTACCTGTCACGGGCAAGGAGAAGTGGCAGAATATGTGGTTAGGAACAGAACAAAAACTCAATCATGAAGATCTTCGTAGGTCATGTTAGGCATTTAGCAATTATTCCAAGTCCAATGGTAAAGCCTGAGTGGTTTTAAGGTGGTGTTATTATGATTAATAACAGTTATAGTTGTTTATTGAGAGCTTACTGTGTCATATACTATCCTAAATCTGTTATATACCATAATATCTCAAGGGTCTGCAAACAGTCCACCAGTCAAATCCTGCCCACTATGTGTGTCTGTATAATCCCTGGTTACAACCCTGGAAGATGGCAGTGGTGGCCACGGAGACCCAGCCTGGCATACCCCTCTGCCCCTGTTCTCTCTCTATCCCTAGCACCTAGGGCCAACAGCCAAGTCAGGAAGGCTGGCTGGGCTCTCCTGGAGGCCACCAAAATGAGTGTGTCACTGTGCAGAGATTGAAGAGGACAGTTAGATCCTCCTGCAGCAGAACTGTGATTCTAGCAACTCAGAAGGTCTCCAGCTGAGGGCAACTGGGGACACTCCATGACACTGACCTGGATCAACCATCGTAGGTCTGAAAGGTGGGCAGGCATTTGTGTCCTCTTATTATCAAAGTAGCTCTGCAATATCCTTCTTTTTGCCTCTTGATCCACAAAGTCTGAACTATTTTTTAGTTGGCTCTTTACTTTCTTACATTTTCTGTAATGCTAGTCAATATGTAACCTTAGTATTCCCATCCCACAGAGGCAGAACTGCAGCTCAGCAAGGCTACCTGACCCCAGAGCCTGATGCATGATTTGGGGGACTATCACAGAGGTCCAGGAAATAAATAAGGGGGGCCGAGATGAAGGAGAAACAAAAGCTTGGGAGTATACTTTTAACACTAACTTGTCAAGGTTTACTTTTAAATCTCAGGTGAGAGTGAGTTAAGGATAAGCAAACTGATTTTGAAGTTTCTTCCTTTAACAAGAATGGTAGTACAATTATAAGATGGGAGTAAATTGGAGATGAAATAAGGATAAGGGGGAAAGAGTGGATATTGAGGAATTGTCCTGCTAAATTGGAGATGTCTGTGAGAATCCCAAGAGGATCTGTAAGTAGGAAGCTGGACATAAGGTTCTAGAACTTCCAGTAACTAACTGAACATTCACCTTAGATGTGGAAGGGAAGTGGCCTATTATTTTTGGCTTTGATTTTTGTTTTGTTTTTGCTCTTTTTTCTTTTTGACAAGGAAAACAGTAAGACGGAATTGAAAAGCAAGTCCTAGTTAACCCCAGGACCAGCCTAGCAGAAGCAGAAGAGAGAAAACTGAGAGCTACTGAATGTTCACTTCATCAATTAAAAGTACAGTTTATTTGATAATTGCATACTTTGTTATTAAATTATAGAACTTAAAGTGGCTTAGTATTTATTTCAAAATTCAGGTTGTCATTTTGTGGTACGTTACTATGTGAGGTTGCCTAGTCCATTGACTACGTTAGCCTATTTCTACAACTTTGGATTCCTAAAATATTCTGCAAGAGAAGACAGTTGAAAACAAAAAGTATCATTAATAAGTTAAATTAATGTAAAACAAAATTTGTTCCCAGCAACTTCAACACCAGACCATTATCCCTTTACTTTATCAAATTCATTGGCTGTACAAGCTTGACTTACTTACACTGGATGAATAAATGGGGGATCTTTTCATAGGATTCTTTAAAATAATATCACACTTTCCTTCTTCCACTTATGTCTTTCAAGAGGTCCAAAGGGTACAAATGAGTCAATCATTTTTACTCCGAATTAGACAACTCATAATTTTCTGAATACATGCTGATGAGAGCAATGTTAACAAATTAGAAGCTGATAAGCTGGGTAAACTACATTTATTTCAAAATTTCCCCTTTTCCTCTTTAAAAAGTTTAAAGCAATTAGAGATTTTAATTTCATTTTTAAATCTCCATCTCTAGGCTGGGAGCAGTGGCTCACACTTGTAATCCCAGCACTTTGGGAGGCCAAGGCAGGCAGATCATCCAAGGTCGGGAGTTCAAGACCAACCTGGCCAACATGGTGAATCCCTGTCTCTACTGAAAATACAAAAATTAGTCAGGCATGATGTTGGGTGGGGGGTGGTGCCTGTTGTCCCAGTTATTTGGGAGGCTGAGGCAAGAGAATTGCTTGAACTCAGAAAGTGGAGGTTGTAGTGAGCTGAGATCGCGCCACTGCACTCCAGCCTGGGCGACAGAGCAGGACTCCGTCTCAAAAAAAAAAAAAAAAAAAAAAAAAAAACTCCATCTCTAAACTAAAAGATACCGAAACCTTTGTACTCTAGTTTATTGCAAAGAGTAACCCTGAGATTTTAGTGTGATAGATGTCAAAGAAGTTTTGGAAAGCATGATTAGCATCTCACTGCTGAAATCATGGGAAATCAAGTAGAAGCCTGTTAGAGACAAAACAGCAATTATTGAATAAGCAAGAAAGTAAAGTTAGTACTGTATACATCTTTAAAAGTCAAGAAGGACCAACAGTAATGTTAACGGGGCCAGGCAGAAAGTTTCCTCTCTTTCCCCTTCTTTAACCATTGGTATAGTTCTCTGATGCCATGAAAGGGCCATGATTATAGGGTGAGCTTGGGAGAGGGGAAATAGTAAAGAATGTAGTGAGGGATTTACATTCTGTTAATTAGAACTGTCAACATTGCCTCTGTGGCCTTGAGAAAGAAGTTTCCTCTGTCTTCTGGCATCACTGCAGAGTTTATAAACTAAACCCAAAAAGGTTTTGAAGTCCATGGTTTTGTAAGTGTTGTCCTGTTTCCAATTCCTATTTGAATAAGGACTGCTCTCATACTAAGGAAAAATATTTGTCATATGTGGGAGGCAATTTGTCATATAGCTAAAATCTTATCAAATTAGAATCATAAAATAAATTATTAAACCAATAGCTTATAAATAAAGAATGTAAAGGGCAAAAAGAGACAGAAGAAAGAAATATAAAATACAAAAAGTTCCCCAAACCCAAAACCTTAAACCAAATTACTTTTTCTGTCATATGCCTGTAGAAATGTAAGATTTCTCCAAATCAAGATTACCAGATATTTTCGGGGGTGTCCAATCTTTTGGCTTGCCTGGGCCCCATTGGAAGAAGAAGCATTATCTTGGGCCATGCATAAAATACACTAACACTAATGATAGCTGATGAGCTAAAAACAAACAAAAATCACAAAAAAATCCCATAGTGTTTTAAGAAAGTATACGAATTTGTGTCGGGCCACATTCAAAGCCGTCCTGGTCCGCATGCATCCTGTGGGCCGCAGGTTGGACAAACTTGGATTAGAGCATCCCAATCATATTGGAATAGCAATGTTTCCTACCTTGACAAAATGTAAGACTGCCTTACTACTGGGGAGCCAAGCCAAAGGACTTATAAGCTAATACTTGATTGGGTATTGGAGGCTATATAGAATTACCTCACCTTAGAAAACTCCACCAAAATGCTGTCAGATAAATTCTGTATGTTTCAGGGACTTGCTGGTTCCTAGTTTAAAGAGAATTTCCATTATTATCATCATCATTATTATCAGTAGGCATGTATTTTATTTAAAAAGTTCATTTTAATCTATATATTCTAATATAATTTATGTTCAGCTCTAATTATTGCTATACTTGAAAATATTAAATATATATAATCTATAGTATCACATTACTTAAACAACCATTTGTATTTCCATACTGTAGTCAGTGTCTTGAGTTCCTTCTTTAATTAATATTAGTGATGTTTTAAAGCACATAATCCTTTGTCGAATATTATTTGAATAATAGTACTCTAAGGGGATAAAGATATATTAAATTCCTATTGGATTCAAAGCTGTAATATACCTTGTGGGCCTCTTTAGGATAATTAATAAGTAATTATTTGACTTAATTTACTAAAATGTGAATTTAATATATATATGTCTATTATTAACAAGCACAAATAAACTTGAATATATTTTGCTTAAAAATGGATAAACTACAGTTATTTTAGTGTTTCATTTCTTAAATGTCTATGGCGTTAAAGTGTTACTCTGTGAAGTTTTTAATCTATGGTAAACAGTGAGTAAATATTGCGGCATTGCATATACAGAAAAAATTCAAATGCATTAAACATGCTGGTATGCTATGAACCTATTTAAGGTCTTAGAAAAGTGAAAACTTATTTTTGTGCTGCTCAATAGTACATTAACAAATTAACATCTAGAGAAGTATAGCATCAAAGAGATAAAGGACCCAAGCTAGAAATAAGCTTTACCCAACAAACAGAAAGAAGTTTGATCAACTGCTTTGAGGAATAAAGCAGCTTAATGAGCTTATGAAGCTCATTAAGTCAACAAGGTCAGAGCCCAAATAAATGACATGAGAAATAGGAAATTTAAGAAAAAAATATTAAGAGTGAAAAGACCATAACTGAACTCATAAAAAAGTTAGTAACACCAAAGGACAGAGGGTTAGTAACATAGGAACAAGGTTTGAGATAACTATGGGGGATCACAATTATTTTTTTGAAAAGAAGAAAAAGTGAGATAGAGATGTATTAAGAAATAAAGATGATTAATCTTCTTGAGGAATAAACCTCAACAACTAAAAATAACAAAAAATCACTAACACAACAATAAAACTAAGATTTACCAGAAAAAAAGAAGATACTATTTGTGTTCTAGAGCACTTTGAGTTTTAGGTAACATGCAGGTGCCCTGTAAATCTTCAAAAATATGGAAAGAATACTTCAGATAATGGAGCAGAGGGCAAGTCACTTACAAAGTTGGAGGTTTTAGATTGGCATTAGACTTCTCTGCAGTAACATTCAATGCTAAGATTACAAAATTCAAAGAAAAAAGTATAAACCAAAAGATGCAATTGTTTTCAGATAAGAAACCATTGTAAACTATAAAATTCCAATTCTTGGAGCAAGTGTTATTGAGGATTACTTGTATCCAATTAAGAAGTTAATCAGCGCATATACTTTCCAAAGTAGAGAAATCATAAACACAAAAACAGGTCCATTCAAATATAGAACAAATATTTTTATATTTAGTGTGTAACAGTTAGATAAATTATAAAGTAACAAACTTTAACAGATTAAAATAGTGGTCTATATTTCAAGTACATGTATTAGAATGGAAGAGAGAGAGCCAATGGCCTATCCTTTATTGAAAATATTCAGTAAAAATTGTTTAAGAAAATATGTAGTTAAAAAATATGTGTTCCACCTGTTAATGTCTTCCATAATGTTTGTATAATCTTACAGTTTTTGAAGATATATATTGTGTAAAATACAGTTTTTCAAACTTTGAATGTTTTCAGCTATACCTTAATTTCATGTTTTCTGATATTTCATGTAAAAAATAATACTATTGTATATTTTAATTAGATCATATGCAGAATGCAATCCATTTTTATAAAAGTATGTATGCTTTTTTACTCATCATGCTTGGATAACTATCTGGAATCACTTTTACCTAAAAATAATGATGTATGTAGTTGAAAAATGATATGTGTGATCCTTTATTATTTTTTTCTGTGCTTATTAGCATTGGATAAAATTTTCAGTAACAGTTTTGACATTTTGCAAAAATTATAAGTGTAGTTGTTATTTTATAATATGAATTATATGGTAGTAATACTATTATTATGTTAAAAATAGGTAACTTAAAAAGAGAATAAAAATTTCCATCCACTCCAGTGAATATGTCCAAATTTGGAGAGCATAAATTATGGATTTATAGATGATGATAGTTTACAACAGCAACTGTAATTTAATAAAATAAATGAACAATTTGCAAACAGAATATAGTGTTCCCAGATTAAAGCATGTAGTTAAAAATGAGATAATTTAGCTTAACAGTGTTGAAGGGTGTCAACAATACTGTAAGCACTAATACCTGTGTGAACTAATGCCTATGCATGCATATGAATACAAATTATACACACAAACACCTTGAAAGATGTAATATTTTCTGCTAAGTATATTTGAAATATTAAACTTCAATTTTAGATTATCGTGTAAAACTTGCCAATGCTGTTCATCTCTTCTCATTTATCATTTCATAATAGGGTTTTGTTTTTGTTGTTGTTGTTGTTTGTTTTGAGACGAATTCTCTCTCTATTGCCCAGGCTGGAGTGCAGTGTCATGATCTTGGCTCATTGCAACCTCCACCTTCCAGGTTCAGAGATACTCCTGCCTCAGCCTCCCGAGTAGCTGAGACTGCAAGTGTGCTCCCATGCCCAGCTAAGTTTTGTATTTTTGCAGAGACAGGGATTAGCCATGTTGGCCAGGCTGGTTTTGAACTCCTGATCTGAGGTGATCTGCCTGCCTCGACCTCCCAAAGTGCTGGGATTCCAGGAATGAGCCACTGCACCTAGCCCATAACAGTGTTAAAAAATTGAATTTTTGGCTGGGTACCGTGGCTCATGCCTGTAATCCCAGCACTTTGGGAAGCAGAGGCAGGTGGATCACTTGAGTTCCGGAGTTCAAGAACAGCCTGGCCAACATGGCGAAACCTCGTCTCTACTAAAAAATACAAAAATTAGCCAGACGTGGTAGCAGGTGCCTGTAATCCCAGCTATTCAGAAGGCAGAGGCAGGAAGAATTACTTGAACCCGGGAGGCGGAAGTTGCAGTGAGCCAAGATCACGCCACTGCACTGCAGCTTGGGTGAGAAAGCGAGACTCTGTCTTGGAACAACAACAACAAAAATGAATTTTTATACCACTGATGTTTAGAATAGTGGTCAGTTAATCAGTACTTCCCCGCCACCCTCCCCTGCCAAATATTTTACACTACTTGGGCACAAGGAAAAGCCAAGAGTTAGAAAGACAAAGGCCTGGTAAATACAAGAACACTGAAATATTTCATCTAGGACACAATTAGAGTATTTTGTATTTTTTGCTGGCACATAGTAATTGTATACATTTACACGGTATATGTGATATTTTGATACATGAATAGAATGTGTAATGAACAAATTAGGGCATTTAGTCTATCTATCGCCTCAAATATTTACCATTTTTTTTGTGTGTGTGCTGGGAACATTTCAAACCTTCTCTTCTAGCTATTTTAAAATATAAAATAAATTATTGTTAACTATAGTCACATTACGGTGCTACCGAACACTAGAACTTATACTTTCTATGTACCTGCCTGTTTGTACCCATTAACAAGTTTCTCTTCATCCCCGCGCCCAATCACACACCCTTCCCACCTTCTGGTAACCATCACTCGACTCTCTACGTCCATGAGACCAAATTCTTTAGCTCTCACATGAGTGAGAACAGGTGATATTTGTCTTTCTGGGCCTGGCTCATTTCATTTAACATAATGACTTCCAGTCCCCCCCATGTTGTTGCAAGTGTAAAATTTCTTTGCTTTTTATGGCTTAATAATCATTCTTTATACATATGTACTGCATTTTATTTATCCATTCATCTGTTGACAGACATTTTGTTATTCCGTATTTTGGATATTGTAAATAGTGCTGTAATAAACATAAGAGTGCAGATATCCCTTTTATATATGAATTTCCTTTGCTTTGAATAAATACCCAGTAGTGAATTCCTGGATCATATGGTAGTACCATTTTTACTTTTTTTGAGAAACCTTTATACCGTTCTCCATAATGGTTGTACTAGTTCACATTCTCACCAACAGTGTGTAAGAGTTCCCTTTTCTTCACAACCGTGCCAGCTTTTATCTTTTGTCTTTTTGGTAATTGCCATTCTAACTAGAGTGATATCCTGGTTTGGTTTACATTTCCCTGATGATTAGTGTTGTTGGCAATTTTAAAATAGACTTGTTGGGGCTGGGCACGGTGGCTCACACCCGTAATCCCAGCGCTTTGGGAGGCTGAGGTGGGTGGATCACTTGAGGTCAGGAGTTTGAGACCAGTCTGGCCAACATGGTGAAACACTACCTCTACTAAAAATACAAAATTTAGCTGAGTGTGGTGGTGGGTGCCTTTAATCCCAGCTACTCAGTAGGCTGAGGCAGGAAATCGCTTGAACCTGGGAGGTGAAGGTTGCAGCGAGCCAAAATCATGCCACTGCACTCCAGCCTGGGTTACAGAGTGAGACTCCCTCTCAAAGAGAAAAAAAAAAGTATATATATACACACACACACACACACACACACACACACACATGCTTGTTGTCCCTTTGTATGTCTTCTTTTGAGAAATGTCTGTCTAGATCTTTTTCCTAGTTTATATTTGGATTATTTGGTTTTCTTTGTGCTGAGTTCTTTGGGTTTCTTATATATTCCGGATGTTAGTCCCTTGTCAGATGAATAATTTGCAAACATTTTCTTCCATTCCTCAGGTTGTCTCTTTACCCTATTGATTATTTCTTTTCCTGTGCAGAAGGTTTTTTGAGTTTAACATAGTTCCATTTATCTATTTTTTTCTTGTTACCTGTGCTTTTGTATTTTTAATTTTTTAATTTTATTTGTAATTATGCACATGCTCTGCAACTATAACTTCTAACAACACTACTGAACGTATATCCTAGGGGGAATGGTAGGGAGAGGCTGAAGCTGACAATGTAGATTTACCCACCTACGTTAGGCTCACAAGACAACCATAAACTCTCAGAATGTCAATGACCATAGTTCCCTCTTCATAATAACATGAAATGAGCATGAGACTTGGAAATTTTTTCAAGGCTAGCAACACATTTAATTATAGAATTCACATCTCTGTAAAGGTGGTTTATCTTTATGCACAAAAGTTAATCCTACAAATAAGATCCTAGAGGTTTTCTCTTTATGCATATGTGAATACAGATTGGAACAAAACTAATTCTTCCACAAGTTTAAGCAGAAAATAGGTCCAGATTGATAAAATTGCTCATAAAAATATAAATAAGAAAAATAAGCCTCTGAAATAAACCGAAACTTGAAAAAGCAAAAAATAAAAAATAAAAATAAATACAAACATTGCATATAAGAGCAGAGAAAAACCTGGTTTATGTAAAGAATCTGAGGAGTCATGCAATCATAAATCAAAAGACCCTTTCTTCTTGTACTTTCTCATCTTCCTTTTATTCTTTCTTCTAACCCCACTGTCAAGGCTTACTGTCAGATACTGTAGTGACACACCAAACAAGACACCATTCTCCTTCACTAAGTTTGACAAGATCATCTCCTTCATCCTGAGGATCAATTAACCAAGTTTCTAAGGTCTTTTCAGGTCATTGGACAAGGAGATTCTGAAGTAGTCTACATTATCTTTTATTAAAAGTACAAGTCTTAATAACTCACTTGGGGCTGTCTGTGGTGACAGGGACCTACTAGAGCCAATCATAGTTGCTGGGCACAACTCAGCAAGTGGGGTCTCCAGTGAGTTTTGGTCCCATCACTGGACAACAGTAGCAGCTAGGAAATTGTGTTCCAGGTTTTGTTAGAGCCCCTTTGTTGAATCTCTAGTCAGACCTGCCTAGCAAGCTCCTTGACTATCAGAGATGCAAAGGACTGGCTGTGCAGGAAGTCTTGTCTAGGAAAGGCAGCTGTCCTGAGAAAGAACCTTCAGGTAAAGCCTTCGTATATGCCTATGATCTAGGTCAGAAAGATCACAAACAGATTCTGGCCAGAAGCAATACCTTTCAACAATTATTTAATTTTTGCACATCGCAGACATTTTTAAAATCGAGGTGCAAATACAGTCCATAAAATATGGTAGTCTTAGTGCATTGTCCAATTGTTTATATATAATTATGCAATCACTGACTAAATCACGATTTAGAACATTCTTGCCACCCACAACAGTATTTATTTATTTATTTATTTTATTTTTATTTTTTTGAAATGGAGTCTAAAACCTAAAAACCAAAAAAATAGAGAAAGATTTCACTGTTATGTTTAATTGTAACAAAATAATCTGTATATCAGAATGCAGGAATCACAAAATATTTGTTTCATTTATTTGTCTATAAGAAAATCATTTTAGTACCAGTGAAATGATACATGAAATATGTTTAAAATATATTATTGCCTGAAGGTAAAGTATCTGTTACATAAGGATATCACACAAGTTAATAACTAGGACCTTGCCAAATCTAAAATGGAAATTAGTAAACAATTTACATAGGAAGTTCACCAAAGAGGACACAGAAAATATTAAAATTTGTTTAAACTTATTCATCATAAGTAATGTATAAATTTAATTGACAGATGCCATTTTTCATCTGTCATAATGGCAAAGATAAAAACTGCTGATAAGATATTGCAATGTTATGCTATGTAAGATATACCAATCCAGTCAACTTCACATGTGCATGTATAACTTTGACAACTATTGTTGCCAATTTACCAGTGAAAATCAGAACTACAAAGCCTGATGGCATAGTGTGTTTGCTTAAATCCTTATAGAGATGAATTGAAGTGTTTTTTTTCTTGTTGTATACAAAAACGTGTGTTTTGCCATGCACACACATGAAATTTTATTATATATAATTTGATCCGTAGGTGTTCAATTACATTATCTTCTTTGTAACAATTCTTGACATTTGTTTTCCATCATACTCCCACAATGAAATAAAATCAGTTCTCAAAGGGGCTTTTTTTTCTGTAATATCTACTTATCTGCTTTTATCACTTGGTCAGCCCTTCGTCTAGTAATGTCTTTGAGAGGAATTCTCAAGCTTAAGTTCTCTCTGCTTCTATGGAGAATTTTGTAGCCATCCTGATTCTTCCCAATAACCATGATTAGATGTTTATACTTATAAGCTCAAAGGATTTTTTTTTATTTTCAAAGTCCATTTATTTTTAATATGAGGTAATTTTGAGTATTCCAAACCCACACCTTTGGCAATTTATGCTGGTAAACAATGTTCCCTTTTCTCTGTAGATGCGAGTTTCTTTTACTTTTGGATGTTTTACTTTCATTATAACAAAAAATATTCTGTTCTATTCAATTTGCTCTTTTTGGCCCTTCACATGCCATATTATAAATATACTGCAGTTGTATCTAGCTTTCTGTCTGCCTGTGTATGTATCTATGTATCTACATTTATGTAAATATGTCTATAGATATTTTTTGATTCTAATATTTTTTTAAAAGTCTGTTCATTTTCACTTCATTTTCTTGGTGTTCGTAAGCCAATATTCTATGCTTCTAATGTTTATGGCCCTACTTCCCTTTTTCATCATTTACAGTGTGATAATTTAAGTTTTCCTTGTAATTTCTTCTTAAATTCTGCCAGTTCACAGTCCTCTCCTCCTGATGCTTGACAGTTTTTCTTTGAGCTTTTGTATATCTCATTTCAGCTCTCAGCCACACTGTCTTTTGTTTGTTTAGAAAGTTTCTTTAATCTACTATTTTTGTTTTCTATTTATTTCTTCTTATGTTCTTCTAGTTTTTGTGTGTGCTGTTCAAGTTAATTTTTAACTATAATTCATCGTTTAATGATATGAGTTCTTTTCTGACCAGCTATTGCAGAAAACATGTGATGTGTAGAGAAGGCAGTATTCAAGGTGAAAATGCTCATATGTTTGAACGATTTATTTTACCTCTTTATTTTCTTCAAGTCAAGAGTTTTCCAATTGTAGAGATGTTCTCAACTTAGAAACTTCCTAAATAATAGACTTGCAGGAATTTATGTATTTCCTCATTCAGCTGCACTACCCCTTCTTCTCTGTTTTATCAACAAAGAGTCCATGACCTGTCACCACTAGCCCTTATGTCATCGCTTTTGTGTTAAAGACAGTTTTTTGTTTGTTTATTTGTTTCCCTCTCATTTTATGCCACTTGTTTGGAGAATTGTTCTCTTCTGGCTTGGCCCGAGATTTGTTCTTGAAATCATCCACTTTAGTCATCTTTCTGAAATCTTACTGGTTACCAAAGACATTCTGTAGCTCTTCCTCATGTGTAGTGGTATAGAATCTCCTGCTCTTGTTGGAAGCTTAAGTTTTTGTTTCCTATTTCTGGTTACCATTGCATTATTTTTTTGACATATAAAATATAAAAGAGTCATCTCTCTGGTCCCATTTATAAAATAAAACCCTTTTAATGTTTATCTGAAGGCTCACAGCTACAACATTAGTGCAAATCCAACTGCATTGACTTGCCTCAAAATACGTCACCAGAACTAGCATATGTCCCAGTACAATTTTATGTTGTATTCAAGTTTTTATGCATTATAGGCACATTTTGTATTATCACATGTCCTTGGTGTAGTTAACAGAAGGTCATATCTATTTGAATTTTATTGACATTGATGCACCATTTGTAAACTGTAAAATTTAGAGGCTTCTAGGTTTGGTGCATCTTAAATTTCATGCAAGTCTGAAGGTTGCATGAATACCTATTTTGCTGATGAATAAATTTTGGGGGAGGTAAGCCATCCCAATTGCTTGATGCTTATGAGACTATGTAATCTCATAGTGATACCCTTCAGAGAAGTGCTCTGAGGAATTCATTGTGATAAAAATATGAATTGACCGTGTAATATACAAATTCACCATAGTTTCATTTGAGACTTTCATAAAAGCTATACATGTTCCATCCACAGGCTAAATTAAATGTATAAATCATTTATACAACAGTGTTTTATGTCTGAATTCATAGGATTTCTAAGTGCTTAGAATACTAATCACAGGAAAGGGATTCTTATATCTTAGATTTTGATGTCTTACATGAAAACATATATACAGGCTTAAAATGCACATCTACCCTAGAACTTAAAGTATAATAAAAAAGAAATATAATTCTTAATTACCATGGAATATAACAATAGACATTAATTACATTCTGGTTCAATGGGTGAGATTAAGTGGGATCTGCCTTATTTACCTACATGCACGGCTTTCAACTTTATAGGTTAAACAGACTCGCCTTATTTTTAATAAGGTGGAATAATTTTAGGCCTCAGAAAATGTCATTTTGAAAGTTACCATAAAATGGCATAGTTCCTAAGCAATTGATATTTCTAGCAAAATATCTGTGTTAAAGTCACATATCAAAAAATGTGTCCAGAAAATGCAACCTTTAAGAAATAATTAAGTTCTAGAAAGTAAGAAGTTTAGAAATAGAGTGATGTTCAAGTATTTAAAATTAAAAGTAAATTTATCCTATTCTAATTCCATCTGTTCTTTTATTTTCTTAATATTTACCCTCATGTCACTATATCATGGAGTGTTAATTGTCTCATTATTACAATGGAATCTGTATCATTCACTCTTGTCTTTATACTGCTCACAAGTAACAAAGACTATTATACCTTAATGTATTATACAGAATTTGAGTTTGAGAGCAAATAATAAATTTATCTATGATAGCCCTGGGCTAAACATTAAATTTTTGTTACCATCCAGACAGTTCATCTTTTTTACCTAAACAGGAATAGGATTGAGACACTATTTTATTCCCTCTCAAAGCCTAAAATAAATCAAAACTAATAAATAAGTAAGTAACTGATTAAATAAATAAAACAGTAAAAACCATGTTTCTTGTTTCTAAGGAGGATTGAGCTCCACAAAGTCATAATCTAAAGCACAAAACCATTCTGTCTCCAACAGTGCATCCTCTTGTTCTGAGTGAACATATTTGCATATGGATGTGTATTTATGTGAGCACAAAGGGGCTTCACCTAGGGCCTATACCTCTGAAATTATGGTTTTTATTATTACCATTATTATTAATGCCTTATTTTGAAATAACTTTACACTTAATTAAAAGCTTCAAAATAGTACTGAGTATCCCCATCTACTCTTCACACACAATCACTAAACGTAATTGTTTTCCACATTTGCTTTTTAAATAATGTATCTTTTTCTTAAATGTTGAAATATTCCAGAATAAGTAACAGACATGATATCTCATTATCTCTAAATGTGTCAATACTGACAGCCTAACAATACGGAAATTCTCTTGCATCAATAAAATGTAATTCTAAAAGTCAGGATATTCATATTAATATAGTATTCTTTCTTTTACATATAGTCAAATGTCATTGTTTACTTATTTATTTGATAGCAAAAGAAAAAAATTCATGTATAGAATTCAATTCATGAACACATGTTGTCATTTGTTTTTACTTAATCTGGATACAATCTTAATCATTGTATACATTTGTTTTTAACTTAATCTGGATACAATCTTAATCATTGTATACAGTTGTCATTTGTTTTTAACTTAATCTGGAAAGACCTTTCAGTCTTCCTTTGTACTTCATAATCTTGGTATTTTCTACGAGTTCAGGCCAATAAGAAGTTGATCAAGGAATGAATGGGTGGTATGTGAAATGAAAACAGGAGTTGGCCTGAAGTACTCCCATTAGCCAAACTGAGGGGTATTTGAACATCAAGCAAATAATAACAACAGTGATAGATTATAACCTATAAATAAAAATCAGAATCCAAGAGTTCATACTGATGTAAATAAAATGAATAAACAAATGTCATAGAATGGCAAGTTTCTTTTTATAGTATAATTTCTGCCTGAAAATGCAGAAGCAATGATGAAAATAGGACATCACAATTTGACAACTACAATAGTTACAATACATGCTTGCAAAAGTCATCAATGTCTGCTGAAATCATCAAGAATGTGATGAAAAATAAGATATTTACATAGTCCCAAATTATTTCCTGCAGATCCTTATTGGTGCAAAAGAATAAAACAACAATTTTGTAATGGAAAATCTTAACAGACACCACCTTAACCAGGAGATAAACACTATCACCAACAATGAGATGTCAAATGTTTTAAAATAACGCACTGAGAACGATGCAGCGGCAGTTTCATGATATTCTGGATAGACATATATAACAAAAATTTAATAATGAAAAAACATAAGACAGAGTCATATTAAGGAACATTCTTCAAAATAACTAGTGTACACTCTGCAAAATAGTCTTATTTTTTAAAAAATCATTGGTTTTGTTTGTTTTGCCCTTTTCCCATGGTGGAACACATCTTTATTCCTGGTTCTTCACTGTTATTTTTCCCTTCTCATTATATGTGTTATACAGAATTGCTACACATAGCATGATGCACTCTAGATGTCACTACGTGAAACTGCATAATAGACCCCAATTTCAGCTCAGTTCAAAAGGTATTTACTGTGTGAACACCTTAGTTACAGACAATTTATCTTTCCCTTATCCATGTAACAAAAACTCTCTCTTTGGCCTATCCATTACATTCTGCCTTATAATATTATGACAATAATGATTCATCTCCCTTAATAGATTCCTCCTGCACCAGCCATGTGAAGTGTCATCTCTGCTTCCCCTTCAACTTCCGCCACGATTGTAAGTCCCCTGAGGTGTCCCAAGAAGTCAAGCAGAGGCCAACATCATGCTTCCTGTACAGCCTGTGGAAGTGTGAGTCAAACCACTTTTCTAAGGGGTTCATCCGTGGCTCACCCATCTTTGTATTCCTAGTGCGAATAGATGGTAAATAAATTGAATTTTAAATCAATGCCATTTTATTATTATTATTATTACACTTTAAGTTTTAGGGTACATGTGCACAATGTGCAGGTTTGTTACATATGTATACATGTGCCATGTTGGTGTGCTGCACCCATTAACTCGTCATTTAACATTAGGTATATCTCCTAATGCTATCCCTCCCCGCTCCCCCCACCCCACAACAGTCCCCGTTAGTACACAACAGAAGAGAAAGTGTCAAGACTTAAAAATATGGCACTGATAGGTGGGAATTGAGCAATCAGTGCCATATTTTTAAGTCTTGACACTTTCTCTTCTGTTGTGTACTAAGGCAGGCCATGGGTCTTCTCATCATTTTTAGGGTCAGTTCATGTTTCCATATTCTCTCAACTGCACTCAAAAGATTTACCTGCAGATCTAATTATTTCATCCCCGTAGCTGTAAACTAAGTTTTCTAAGGGAAATTTATGTGTATTTGTCTTAGCATTGATCATAAAGGCAGATATGCAAATATAGGTCAAAGAGGCATTCAAAGTTGGCCTCCCTGGAAGAGCTCAAGGTAATTCTTACAATAAATAATGTGTTACATGTAATATTTTAAAATTGAATGCAAAAGCAAACTGTTTTTAAAAAGATAAAGAGCCTCACCTTTTACAAAGTTCCCCTAGAACATGCATGAGATTGCAATCTCTTTAGACTTTCTTCTCTTAAAGTAAGTGAAACATTTTTTTATCATGTGATTTTTCACTCTATTAACCAGTGATCAGATCAATTATGTACCCAACCATTTTTTTTTTTCCTGTTTGCAGGAAGAAGAAATTGATTCACTATTCTGTCTGGTTTGAAAAAAAGTCTAAAATAATTTTATATTTGGGAGTTTATTTTATTGCGCATTTTTCATTAAGAAAATGCATAATTAGGAGGAAAATGTGCTAACATAGATTCTCATGTAATTGTCCATATGAAAGACTGATAATTAAGCCCAGTACTGGTTACAGCTCACCTCTTCCAAAACCAACTCCCTAATAGAAAAGAGGCAATTTCTTAGGTACTGGTTTTATACTTTAAGATAATAAACCTAGGTTCTAATTATTTCAGTGCCTCTGAGTAGTCTATAATGGGCATTAAACTCATTAAATGCATTCACATGTTTTGTTGGTTGAAATTATCTTCCCTTATCCTCCCCACAGGTGTAAGTAACAAAATGAAGCATCTAGAAGTTCAAAATTATTCTGATTTTTAAAATCAAAATTAAACAATTAGAATAAAACAAGTAGTATTTTACAGAGATAAGTAAGTATGGTTATGCAGGGGTTACATAAAATTAGAAAAATAATATAATAATATTTATTGATGAATTGAATTGTGTATGACATGGCTAACACAATATCCATACAAACGATTTTCAACCTTGTATGTCCTATTGAATTCAAATGGATCAGCAAGCTACAATTTGTGGGTTAAACATAGCCAAAAGTCCAATTCCAGCCAAGAGGCCTCTTTTGACCAGAGTCTTGGTTTTAATCTGTGTCCCCACCAAATCTCATGTTGGGTTGTAGAACTCAATGCTGGAGGTAGGGCCTGGTGGGAGGTGACTGGATCACTGGGCCGGATTTCTCATGAACGGTTTAGCACTATCCCCTTGCTGTTGTTCCCCTGATAGTGTGTTAGTTCTTGTGAGAGCTGGTCGTTTAAAAGCCTGCAGCACCTCCCCATCTGTCTTCCTCCTGCTCCAGTCCTGTGAAGTGTCTGCTCGGCTTCCCCTTCCCCTTCAGCCATGTTTATACGTTTCCTGAGGCCTCTCCCGACGTCAAGCAAAGGCCAACTTCACACTTCCTGTCTAGCCTGTGGAAACGTGAGCCAAACCTCTTTTCTTTATTTATAAATTATCCAGTGTCAGGTATTTCTTTATAGTCATGTGAGAACAGACTAAAGCATCTTGTTTTTATAAATTAGGTTTTAGGATAACAATCACATCCATTCTTTTTGTAATGTCTATGGCTGCTTTCATGCTACAATGACAGAATGGAGGACTTGTCACACGGACCAAGTGGCCTGCAAAACATAAAACATTTACCATATGACCTTTAACAGAAAAAGTTTTCTGATTCCTGTATTAAAAGGAAATTTTCTGGCAAAATAGTTTCTGATGTCTGTAAATAGGTTACAGGTATTTGTTGATGGTAAGAAAAGCTTGATGTAGATGCCCACTTAGCTTACACTTTCATAATAATAAGAAAGGACCTCTCTATTGCAACTTAGAAACCAATGTTAAAGAACTCCCATTTGATAGTGTAACCCATCCTCAAACTGAGTTAAGCAAATAAAACATTGCCACATGGGTATTGTTATTATATATTTAGAAGTAAATAAAATATTGCCAAATGGGGAATGTATATTGTATATTTTCTAAAGGCTTGACCATTGCAAACAGCTCCTTTACCTTATTTTTGCATTATGGACAATGCGATTGTTTAACTCACCATAAACATTTTAGTACATTACTGTTTCTTTCTACGCTTTTTAGAAACTAGATTCAGCTATATAACTTTTCAGTCACTGATGTGCACACTTATTTAGCAAAATCAATTGTCCTTTCTGTCGTGAATGAAAAGCGATATTCCGTTTAGGATATCACAAAGTAGGATTCCTGATGAAATGTCTTAAATATAAGGCCACTACTGAGGTAAGCCCTTGTACATTTGTGCTGGGGTTAGACCAATATCTTTTTCATTCGTGGTCATTAATTTTTATACTAAGGATTAAAGCTAATTTTTCTCTTTATATCTATAATGAAACATCTACATATGAAAGGCAGAATTTAGTTTTCCCATTATAGGGATAAAATACTTTTTGCTCATTGACTTTATGTTCAGTGTTGTAGTTGAAATATTAGAAATTTTCTTGAATTTTCTAATTCGCTTTAAAATATAAATGGAACCTTTTTAAAAATTTTCATTTATATGCTACTTAAAGTCTTCTTGAATATTCCTGTGGAATTTCATTTGAGGAATTGCTAATTAAACCCAATGGTTTCTCTAACCATCCATAACACTGAAGCTGGAATGTGTAAGTGACTTCACTTCTCTTTGTAAGACTCCTCTTTTTTTCTTGAACTGCTTCTACTAGTTACATGATATTTGTAAAAATGGTACCTAAAATAATAATTCTGTTTTATTGTAAATATTTCTGGGAGTTTCCAAAACAATTGAGCTTGCACTTATTAGGTTGTAGAAAGGAAACTGAGAATAGAAAATTCAGGATTACTTTTTTTACATCAAAATCTGGCTAGTTAAGATTACACAGGCATTTAATGACATCTCTTTTTTCCAGGTTAGTGCATACTTAAATAGGATTACAAGGACTGTCAATGTATTTGAACTGCATAACTAGTGCAATGTATGTGACCTCCAAACTTATTCAGCTAATTTAATGAAATGGGCAAAATTCATACTACTCAACTAATTAGACATTGAGCACATATTAGTCAGCTTTTTCTGAATCAGCTTGTTTCTTGTTATTATTCAAGTTAAGTTACAAATGTAAACTTAATATCTATTTTATGTGTTACTGGTTGTATGTGTAAGAATAGCCACATCTTCTAAGTAGAAAAATTTGACTCAAAATTAAATCACAGGAGATTCTATCTCAGCCTCTTTTAATAAAAGGCCTTCAGGTATACATGTAAATCTAACTTTTAAATAACGCTTTTTGGAATTTATAATTTTATTTTAGTTTTAAATTATTGCTTTGGTTTAGCTCTGGGATTTTTCTTCCTTAGAGGCATATTAATGAAAAGTTGTTATTTCTCAGAAAGTAAAAAATAAATATAATATTTGCATACAAATGAGAAAATATGAAGTCAACAAGTTTAATAGAAACAATAGTTTTAAATTACATTAGGGCATCTTTATATACAGAACCTTCTAGAGAAGAGGCAAGAATTAATCATTGTTTAAAGGTATACAAGATTATTCAAATAATTTAACAGTAGAAAGTAGTTTTTATTATAATAATTATTTTTTTCATGACTTCAAAATATTCCTTTCAATTACTTCTTAGAGCTAATGTCAATGTATTTTTATCAACACTTAAAAAAAATTCCAACAATGTGGACTTTCTAATCTTATTTTATGACCACCTCTTTTTTTTTTTTCATTATGATTAACATTGCGTTTTACAAACTGCTTAAAGTGGAGGTTACCAGACTTGATTTTTTCCTTCTTCCTGAATTGCATCACCTTTCCCTGTTGCAAACCTTGGAACATGGAAATCACATGGAACATTAGAAAACATTCAAAACTGGAGAGAGGGAGAAATGAATTTGTGCCAATGCAAAAACACAATAAACTTTATTTTTCCATGGATGCATCAATTTGGTAAACACACATATCGTGATGATGGGGTAGCGTATTAATCAGGGTTCTCAAGATATATATATATATGTATATTCTATTAGTTTTGTCCCTCTAGAGAACATATATATATATATGAACTCCATATATATATATATATATATATATATATGGGAACTTTATATATATATATAAGTACTCTCATATATATATGAACTCTCTCATATATATATGTATATATATACGTAGGAGTTTTTTATTAACTTACATTTTCACAAGATTCCACAAATAGGCTGTCTACGAGCTTGAGGAGCAAAGAGAGTCCGAGTCTCAAAACTGAAGAACTTTGATTCCAATGATCAAGCGTGGGAGGCATCCAGTACCAGAGTCCAATGATCGAGGGCAGGAGGCATCCAGTACTGGAGAAATATGTAGGCTGGGAGGACAGGCCAGTTTCTCCTTTTCATGTTTTTCTGTCTGCTTTATATTCGCTGGCAGCTGATTCAATTGTGCCCAGCAGATTAAGGGTGGATCTGCCTTTCCCAGCCCATTGACTTAAATGTTTATCTCTTTAGGTAACACTCTCACAGACACACCTGGGATCAATACTTTGTATTATATAATCCAATCAAGTTGATTCTTAGTATTAACTATCACAGGTAGTTAATTTTATATGTCAACATAGCAGGCCTATGATTCCCAGTTGTTTGGTCAAATGCTAATCTAGATGCTGCTGTGAGGTATTTCGCAGATGTGATTAATATTTGTAACAAATTAACCATAAAGAAAAGAGATTATTCTCCATAAGGCAGGTGGGCCTCATCTGATCACTTGAAGGTCTTAGGAGCAGAAACTGAATTTTCCCAGGGACCAAGGAATTCTGCCTTAAAAAGGTAACATAGAAATCTTGCCTGAGTTTGCAGCCTGCCAGGCTGCCCCATGATTTTGGATTCAAGACTGTGACTTCAACTCTTGTCAGTGTTTCCAGCTGCCTGGTCGGACCTACAGATTTCACACTTGCCAGACTCCACGATCCCTTGAGCCAACTCCTTAAAATCTCTCTCTCTCCCTTTCATACACAAATATCCCAACTCCTTTTCCCAACTTTGTTTGTCCAACCAATTCCCAATGAAAGGGTTTATATGTAATATTGTTAAGTACAATCAAAGTTTTTTTGGGCATATTTGCAAGCTAGAGTTAGGAAAATAATTAAGAAAGATGTTGGATAAGTGATGGAAAATAGGTCATACTCACGGATAATTAAGGAGAAATACCAGAGAGGATAATAAAAATTTGACATTAAAAGTTTTAAATATCTTAAAATGAAAGTCTCTGATGAATATTGGCAATAGTCTTAGTCGGTGTTCTAAAATTATGGTCCAGTGACAGGTAAGTAGAGCTTTCTGGGGGAAATCCAAGATTAGGGCTTGGGTAGAGTTGGCACGTGGTGAAGAACTACTTCTTGGTTTAGATGTAACGTTTTCTCATCCTGTCCTCACATGGCAGAGGGGATAAAAGGTGTCTCTGGGGGCTCTTTTATAAGGGCACTTATCTCATTCATGAGAGGTCCACCCTCAGGACCTAATGACCTCCCAAAGTCCCAAACTCCTAATACCATCACACTGAGTATTAGGTTTCAGCATATCAATTTTGGGGAACATAAACATGTTGTCTCTAGCACCCATATAATTAAAAGCTCTTAGAGGTTCTCAATAATGCTTTAAAGAGATCCTGCAACAAATTCTTTGGAGAGCACAAGTGTAGTGCAATTTTCTAATTAATGTATAAAACTTAATTATAGTGCAGCCTTTGAGTGTGTATATTTACTAGGAGAGAATTACTAATACATAGGTGATACTATTTAATTTGGAGAACAGCTTTCATTAGATGTATGTTTTTATATTCGGTATAAATCTTCCACCCTGTGAGATTACCAAATTGTCCTATGTTTGTCTATTGAACCCCAAATAAAGGATCTGATTATTTGTTTGCCTTAGAAATTTTCATCTATATAATGGTTACTTTTATGTAACATTATCTTTTCTTAGGGAAGCTAAACATTTTTTCTTCAGCTCTTACTTAAATGTTGGTCAATCTATTTGGATTAAAGAAATTGACAGAGTTGAAACTATTATAGTTATTTGAAACTGTTCAGATTATGGTGGTGGTATCAGGTCTGCTGAATTTTATTAGTCCTATACAAAATTATACTCTTATTATTCTCTTACATGGTACCACAGCTTTTAGTAACTCCCAGATTTATACACAGCTTATAGAAAAATTAGAGAATTCAAAGCAATTAGTCAAGGGAGTGTAAATAATACAGAAGAGAGAATAAATGTAAAACTGGGTGTTTTGGAATTGAAAAAAAATTGTTTTAAATTTTTAATAAAGGTTTTTAAGAGATAATCCAGCATTTAATATTAAATCCAGCAGGCAATTGCAAAAATTTAAACGTGTACACAAAAAGAAAATATAACAAGCTGCACATTTTTTTTGTTTTGTTTTGTTTTGTTTTGTTCTTTTGAGTCGGAGTCTTGCTCTGTAACCCAGGCTGGAGTGCAGTGGTGCGAACTGGGCTCACTGCAAGCTCCACCTCCCAGGTTCATGCCATTCTCCTGCCTCAACAAGCTGCATATTTCTATCATTTAGTTTAAAGAGTTTAAACTTCTTTCATCTTAACTCTTACTTTTTATGACACCAAATCATACCACCAGATTAATTTGAAGTAAATTCTGTATATTATATATATATATATTTTACAATTTCTCTTACAATATTTATATTGCGATTTAACTTACCCTAAAAATTGCCTGTTCAAATTGTACAATTGAGGGATTTTTATTTTATTCAAAAAGGTTGTGCAATCATCGCTGTTACCTAATTCCGCCGTATTTTTATCACCCACCCCCCCAAATAAATGCCATAACTCATTACGGCAAATGCTATGCCTATCTACTTTCTTTCTCTATAAATTACCCAATCTCGGCATTTAATATAACTAGTATCATTTCTGAGTCTGGTTTCTTTTAGCGCAGTGCTTTTATGCTTTATCTATATTTTTGTATTTATGAATATTTCATTATTTTACGGTCAAATCATATTTCATTGTGTAGAGGTACCCCATTTTGTTTAGTCAGTTCATCAGTTGATGGACATCTGTGTTTTGACAGCGTTTTGGCTATTATAACAAGTGCTGCTATGGAATGCAGGTACAATTTTTTGAATAGACTTATGTTTTCAATTATCTGAAATGTGTACCGAGGGTTGCATTCCTGGGTCATAGAGTAACTCTAACTTTCTAATGAACTTTCCAGAATGTCTGAAGCACTTTAAATTTCCATCATCAATGAATAAGCGCTCCAATTTATTCACATCTTTGCTAATACATTTCATTTCTCATGTTTTTAATTAGAGCCACGCTGTTGGGTGGGACGTGGTGAATGATTGTAGTTCTGATTGGCACGTTGTACACCTTCTTTAGACAAATGTGTACTCAAATCATTTTAATTGGGTTAATGTCTTTAGAATTCAGTATATATTCTGGCTATTACTCTCTTATCAGATATATAATTCGCAATATTTTGTCCCATTTGTGGTCTCTCTTTTCTTTTTCGTGATGGTATAATTAAACTGTTTTTAATTTTAATTAAGTACAATTTGTTTATTAATTTTTCTTTTGCTACTAGTATTTTTTGCTGTCATGTTAAAGAAGTACTTATTTTATGTAATATCACAAATATGTACTCCTCTGTTTTCTTCTGGAGGTTTATCATTTAACCTCTCACATTTTGATGTTTGATTCATTTTGAGATTTTTTTGTGAATATGCATAGTGTGAAGAAGGGGTGTAATGATTCTTTTGTATGTGGATATTCAGTTTTACTAGCACTATTTGTAGAAATCATTTATTTCCCCATCAAATAGTCTTAGAAACCTTCTTAATATATGAATTAGTCATAAATGTATAGGTTTATTTATGGATTCCCAACTCTATTCCATTTGATCTATATGACTTTCATATGCTTATAACACACTGCTTGTATTACTATATGACTTTCCTACACTTTATGCCATAACGTTTTTATTACTATAGCTTCATAGTAAATTTGATAGTAAGGAAAAGTGAATTATCCAACTCTAAATTTTAATTATGACTGTTTCAACTTTTCTGGATTCTTTAAATTTCCATGTGAGTTTTAGGATCAGTTTATAAATATCTTTAAAAAGCCACTAGAATATTGATAGAGATTGCACTGAGTTTGTAGATCATTAGCAGAAATATTAGTTATCCAAAGACATGAGATGTCTTTTCATTAATATCTTTAAATAATGTTTTTTAAAATTCAGGGTACAAGTCTGACTCTCTTTTGTTAAACTTATTCCTAAATATTTGTCATTTTGCTATTGTAAATGAAATTATTTTATCATTTTCAGTTTTGGATGTTCAGTCTTAGTGTGCAGACATACAATTGATTTTATATATTGACTTGTACCCTGCAAACTTGCTGAAGTTGTTTATTAGCTTTAATAGGTGTTTTGGATTCCTTGGGATTTTTCTACACATAAGGTCATGTCATGTGAAAAGAGAGAGAGTTTTCATTCTTTCTAATCTGAATGCATTTTACTTTACTTTATTGTCAAATTGTCCTAGATAGCACCAAATGTACAATGGTGAATAAAAGTGGTGAGAGTGAATATCTGCATCTTGTTTCAGTTATTAATGAGAAAACATTCAGTCTTTTACCTATTAACATTAACCCATTTATGCCTGAGGTGGCAAATTTTGTATTTTTGCAATCAGAACTTGATGATCACCTTGAGCAATAGGATATAAATAACTCCTACATGCTTAGCATTCCAATAATGGAACACTAGGCATAAATAGGGAAAGCAATATATTAGTAGAGAGCTTTTTATAACTGTCCTTTATTTGTTTGCAGGAAATTTCTTCTATTTCTAATTTGTTGAGTTTTTTTATCATGAAAATGCATTATATTTTGTCAAATAAAATTTTCTGTATTTATTAAAATAATAATGCCCTTTGTTCTAACAATATGGTATATTACATTGAATGTCATATTCTGAGTCAACTTTATATTCCTCATATCTGAGAATTTCATGGACCTGGTGTATAAATCTTTTAATGTACTGTTGGATTTATTTTACTAATATTTCTCTGAGGATATTTTGTATCTTCATAACAGATATTGACTTTCTTTTTTTTGAGATATTTTTGTCTGGCTTTAATGTCAGAGTAATAGAAGCCTCATAGAATAAGCTTAGAAGTATTCTCTACTATTCTGTTTTTGGAAGAGTTTCTTAAGAATTGATGTTAAATATTCATGGTGTATAATCTTTTCAGTAAGCTGTTGGATATGTATTTTTTGAGGATATTTGCATATATATTCATAGAGTGCATAAGATCTGTTGTTTTCCTTTCTTGTGAAGTCTTTGGCTTTTGGTGATAAGATAGTCCTAGCCATGTAGAATAAGTTTGGAAGGGATCACTCCTCTTCTATTTTTTTGGAAGATTTTGAAAAAGATAATTGTGTATTTTCCTTTAAATATTTTATAGAATTCCCCAGTGTAGCCATCTGGTCCTGGGCTTTTCTTTGTTAGGAAGTGTTTGATTATTGACTCAGTCTTTTCACTTTCACAGAAGTACGTTTTGATTGTTTAAATTTTTTGAGTGATATGTGTGTTTCTAGGAATTTGACTATTTCACCTATTTCATCTAATTTGTTTGGTATGCCATTGTGCATAGTATCTTTTAATAATTTTTATTTCTGTAAGTTCTGTCATATCGTCTCCACGTTAAATCCCATGTTAGTAATTTGAATCTTTCTGCTTTTTTTCTTAGCCAACTGAACTAAATATTTTTCAGTTTTATTCATCTTAAAAAATTTTTGTTGAAGTTTAAAATTACTTTTCTATTCTCTATTTAGTTGATCTCTGATTTAACGTTTAGTATTTTCCTTCTTCTTCTACCTTGAGTTTAGTTTGTTCCTCTTCCTTCTCTGCATCATTGCCAACATTTGGTATTATCATTATATTATTATTATTATTATATTAATTTTCATCATTCTGTTAGGCAAAGTGAGATATGTTATTGTGGTTAAAATTTATATATCCTGTATCATTCATGATGTTGAACATATTTTATATGTTTATTTGCCATATGAATGTACTTTTCAGTGAAATGTCTGTTTGTGTCTTTTGCCCATTTACTTATTGTACTGTTTGTTCAATTACTGTTGAGTTTTGATAATTTTAAAAAAAATATTTTCTAAATGCAAGTCTTTTGCTGAATGTATTGCCTACAAGTATTTTCTCAAAATCTGTGGCTTTTCTGTTCATCATTTCAACTTTTAGCACAGTAATAGTTTTTAATTTTAATGAAGTCCAATTTGTCATTATTTCCCCTTTATATTGTTCTTTCAGTGTGAAATCTAAGAAGTATAAGTTATCTTCTATCTCACGCCAGTGCCTCCAGAAGTTTTATAGTTCTATATTTAACTGCATTATGCTTGCATTTTGAGTTCATTTTTTAAATTCTACTTTAAGTTCCGAGAAACATGTGCAGAACGTGCAGGTTTGTTACATAGGTATACACGTGCCATGGTGGTTTGCTGCATCCATCAACCTGTCATCTACATTAGGTATTTTTCCTAATGCTATCCCTCCCCTAGCCCCCAACCACCCAACAAGACCTGGTATGTGATGTTCCCCTCCCTGTGTCCATGTGTTCTCATTGTTCAACTTCCATTTATGAGTGATAACATGCATTGTTTGGTTTTCTGTTCCTGTGTAAGTTTGCTGAGAATTATGGTTTCCAGCTCCATCCATGTCCCTGCAAAGGAATGAACCCATTCTTTTTTATGGCTACATAGTATTCCACGGTGTATATGTGCCACATTTTCTTTATCCAGTCTATCATTGATGGGCATTTGTGTTGGTTCCAAGTCTTTGTTATTGTGAATAGTGCTGCAATGAACATATGTGTGCATCTGTCTTTATAGTAGAATGATTTATAATCCTTTGGGTATATATCCAGTAATGGGATTGTGGGTCAAATGGTTTTCCTGCTTCTAGATCCTTGAGGAATCACTACCCAGACTTCCACCATGGTTGAACTAATTTATACTCCCATCAACAGTGTAAAAGCATTTCTGTTTCTCCAAATCCTCTCCAGCATCTGTTGTTTCCTGACTTTTTAATGATCGCCATTCTAACTGGTGTGAGATGGTATCTCATTGTGGTTTTGATTTGCATTTCTCTAATGACCAGTGATGATGAGCTTTTTCTCATGTTTGTTGGCCACATAAATGCCTTCTTTTGAGAAGTGTCTGTTCATATCCTTTGCCCACTTTTTGATGGGGTTGTTTTTTTCTTGTAAATTTGGTTTAAGTTCCTTGTAGATTCTGGATATTAGCTCTTTGTCAGATGGATAGATTGCAAAAAATTTCTCCCATTCTGTAGGTTGCCTGTTCACTCTGATGATCATTTCTTTTGCTGTACAGAAGCTCTTTAGTTTATTTAGATCCCATTTGTCAATTTTGGCTTCTGTTGCCATTGTTTTTGGTGTTTTAGTCATGAAGTCTTTGACTATGCCTATGTCCTCAATGGTATTGCCTAGGTTTTCTTCTAGGGTTTTTATGGTTTTAGGTCTTACTTTTAAGTCTTTACTCCATCTTGAGTTAATTTTTGTATAAGCTGTAAGGAAGGGGTCCAGTTTCAGTTTTGGTTAGCCAGTTTTCCCACACAATTTATTAAATAGAGAGTCCTTTCCCCATTGCTTGTTTTTGTCAGGTTTGTCAAAGATCAAATGGTTGTAGATGTGTGGCATTATTTCTGAGGTCTCTGTCCTGTTCCATTGGTCTATATATCTGTTTTGGTACCAGCACCATGCTATTTTAGTTACTGTAGCCTTTTAGTATAGTTTGAATTCAGGTAGCGTGATGCCTCCGGCTTTGTTCTTTTTGCTTAGGATTGTCTTGGCTATACGGGCTCTTTTTTGGTTCCATATGAAATTTAAAGTATTTTTCTCTAATTCTGTGAAGAAAGTCCATGGTAGCTTGATGGGGATAGCATTGAATCTACAAATTACTTTGCGCAGTATGGCCATTTTCACAATATTGATTCTTCCTGTCCATGAGTATGGAATTTCCATTTGTTTGTGTCCTCTCTTATTTCCTTGAGCAGTGGTTTGCAGTTCTCCTTGAAGAGGCCTTCACATCCCTTGTAAGTTGTATTCCTAGATACTTTATTCTCTTTGTAGCAATTGTGAATGGGAGTTCACTCATGATTTGGCGCTCTGGTTTTCTGTTATTGGTGTATGGGAATGCCTGTGATTTTTGCACATTGATTTTGGATCCTAAGACTTTGCTGAAGTTGCTTGTCAGCTTAAGGAGATTTGGGGCTGAGTTTATGGGGTTTTCTAAATATACAATCATGTCATCTGCAAACAGAGACAATTTGACTTCCTCTCTTCCTAATCGAAAACGCTTTATTTCTTTCTCTTGTGTAATTGCCCTGGCCAGAACTTTCAATACTATGTTGAATAGGAGTAGTGAGAGAGGACATCCTTTTCTTGTGCTGGTTTTCAAAGGGAATGATTCCAGCTTTTGCCCATTCAGTATGAGTTAATTTTTATATAGGTTGTCTGCCTTTAGATTCTGTTTTTTTGGTTTTTTTTTTTCTTTTTCTTTTTTCGCTTGTGGGTGTCTCACTGCTTTGGGCAAATTTGTTGAAAAGCCATCATCCTCAATTGAATTGCTTTTGCACCTTTGTTAAAAACACTGTTTGACATAGTGCAAAACTATTTCTGGCATTTTTATTTTGTGCTATTGATTTAGGTGTCTATCCCTTTTTCACTACTATATTCTTTTATTTACTAGAGTTGGTCTTAATATCGGGTAGAGTGATCCCTCCCACTTTTTTTCTGACTTTCAATGTCATTAAAATTATACCGATCTAGACCTTCTTATATAAAATTTCGAATAAACTTGTTCATAAGAAAGAAACATTGCTTGAATTTTGATAAGAATTTTATTTATTGGCCAGACACGGTGGCTCACACCTGTAATCCCAGCCCTTTGGGAGGCTGAGGTGGGCAGATCATGAGGTCAGGAGTTTGAGACCAGCCTGACCAACATGGGTGAAACCCTGCCTCTACGAAAAATACAAAGCAAACAAACAAAAAAATTAGCCCGGCATGGTGGCGGGAGCCTGTAATCTCAGCTACTCGGGAGGCTGAGGCAGGAGAATTGCTTGAATCTGGGAGGCGGAGGTTGCAGTGAGCTGAGATCTCTCCACTGCACTCCAGCCTGGGCGACAGTGCGAGACTCCATCTCAAAAAAAAAAAGAATTTTGTTAAACATCAACATCTGTACCATAATCAGTCCTCTAATACATAAATACACTATGTCTCTTCATTTTTTTAGCCCTTCTTTAAATTTTTAGCAGTAATTTATATAATTTTCAGTACATAGATTATATACATGTTTGGTTAAGTTTATATGTAACCTACATATTTTATTTTATTTGGAACAATTATAAATGCTATTGAGTTTTAAATTTTGGCTTTCATATGGTAATTGTTAATATGTAGAAATGTAATTGATTTTTGTGTATTGACCTCACACCTGCAACCCTGCTAAACTCACTCATTAGTTCAATGAGGGGTTTTAGTTGTTTTTCTTTTTAACATAGAAAATCGTGACATGCTCAAATAGTGAGTTTTTTTTTCATCTTAGTGCCTGAAAGTTTTTTGTTGTTCTCTTTTTCCTCTTTTCATAGACAATCATGACAACTTCAAATAATGAGAGTTTTATTGCTTTTTTTTAGTTACAACATCTTTAGTTTTCATTTATTTTTCTGACTCATTACAGTTGGTAGGACTTCCAACATTGTGTTGAATGAGAGGGAACATATTTGTCTTTTTCCCAATATTACAGGGAAAGCATTAAGTCTTTCATGCTTAAGTATGATGCTAGTTGTAGATGTTTTGTATGCATTCTTTATCAAGTAGAGAAAGAACCCCTCTGGTCCTAGTTTGCTAAGAGTGTTATAAATGAGTGTTGATTGTCAATGCTTTTTTGGATGCATTTATATGATCATATAATTTTTTTTCTTTAGTCTGCTGATATGGTAGATTCCATTGATTGGCTTTCAAAGAAGGGACCAGACTAGTAGAAATGGAATAAATCTAGTAGGTCATGAAATATGGTTCTTTTTAAATATTGCTGGGTCTAATTTACTAATATTTTATTGAGGATATTTACACAAATTTTTGAGTTTGCCTACTTTCTTTTAGCATAATGAATTTGAGATTCTTTTTTGTTGTACATGTCTGTAGTTCATTTCTTTTTGTTATTTGTATTTCATGGGTAGATAGAATTTGTCTATTTTCTGATTTAGGGACATTTGGGTTAATTTTTGTAGCTATGAAGGAAGTTGTCATAAACATTTGCTGAGGTTTTGTGGAAACCTTTTTCTTCATTAAATACCTAGCAGTGGGATCCATAGTTCATATGGTAAAAGTATAATTAAATTTATAAGAAATTACAAAGTATTTTCCAGAGTTGGTATGCAATTTTGCATTCTTTCGAACAATATGTGGAATTCTCAGTTGCCTTTTCATCCTGGCCAGCTCTTGAAACGGTGAATTTTGTTTGTTGGTTTGCATCAATTTGATCTATTCTTGTACGAATGTCGTAGGATTCTATTTTGATATTAATTTGCATTTCCTTAATTCCTAAAGTTGTTGAACATCTTTTGATGTGTTTGTCTTTTTTCTGTAATTTTTTAATTGTTGTAGTACAAGTCAAATATTTTGATCCCCCTTTATTAGCTTTTTTTGCTTTTTTATTACTAAATTTTGAAATTTCTTTCTATATTTTAAATACCATTATTTTAACAATGTTTTCTCCCAATCTATGACTTGTCTCTTTATTTTCTTAATTTTTTGAGCAGCAGAAGTTATTAATTCTTATGAAATCTAATTCACAGATTTGTTTTTATATAGATTATTCTTTCGCTTTTCTAAGAAGTCTTTGCTTTCCTCAAGGTTACAAGTATTTTCTCACATACATTGTTTTAGAAGTTTTATAGTTTTATATTTTATATTTAGGTCTCTGATCCATTTTACATTAATATTTATATATGTCATGTGAAGTGAATTGAGGTTATTTGTGTGTGTGTCACATTTGTTTACTTAATTCCCAAATGCATAATATATAATGTTTGCAAACTTCTACTATAGTAAATAATAAAATTACTTATGATCTAGCCACTCAAAAATCACCAGCTCTTGGCAGAACTGATTTGAAAGTATTCTGACAGAACCTAACAGAAGGACTTTCAATTGATGTTTTCTTCCATGATGAGCACTTCCAGGCTGTTCTTTGCTGCAACTTGACCCCAATGTTTTAAAGATCTCAGGGCTCTGGTCACAATACTTCTATTTTTTAATTATTTTTTCATAATGATCTAAGATTGGCTGTTATGTTACTAAATTTTTAAGCATTGTTTATAAACTTGATGTATCTACACATTTATGTACTACAGTAAAAATTGATTAAGACTTAAGGAAGCATGTATTTTTGTGGCCATTTTATTTTAAATTTCAAATAATTAGTATATTCAAGATGTCTCAGCCTAAGGCTTTCTCCCACCCCTAGTGGCTTGATTATGTATTCAATAATTTAAAAAACAAATCTCTTTAGAATTCTGAGGAGTGGAATGCCAAGATTATTAAAAAAATAAGCTTTTCTATACAATTTAGAGATACATGTATGGGTGTGTGTGTGTGTAATACAACTATTTAAAATATTCTAATATTCAAGTGTAAAACTAAAAGTAAAGAAAGTTTAGTATAAAACATTGTTAAAGAGACAAGAGACTCTGCTAAAAATATCTATATATTACAATATTCAAGTTGGACAAAAGGCTGACAATGATCAAACAAAAAATACTAATGAAAACTGTGTTTGCACCATCATTTGCATAGGAAGGCTTCTAGGGAATAGACTTCCAATGTAACAAAAAAGATTCTAGGCATTAAGAATAAGAGCATATCGTTATTCCAAAGGAAAGCTGACAGAGGAGAAATAGCAATTGTATTATTAGCCTTTGTAAATTATGACATTTACTGAAACGATAATAATATTCTTCTCTAATTTGAAGTGCCAGTTTTACCTAATACATTTTTTCTAATACATTTTTTCTTTAATTAATAACTTGTTTTATGCTCATTGATCTGCATATCTGTTGCTGAGCCAATATCAAAATGATTTAATTAATGAAGATTGATAAAACTTTGATATTATTTAGGCAAATTTTACACACCATCTTTTACTTTTTATCCATTTTATTTTTCATATGAATTTTAAATTTAAATTTAAGGCTTATGAGGAAATACGATATTCAAATAAAATTATGCTATATGACTAGGTAAATTAGGGAAATCTAATCTTTTAACCACTTATTGTTTCATTTGCAAATTATTCATTAGTCTCCATTTATGGAAATAAAATTTTGGTTCATACCTTAGATTTTTTATATCAATAAACCCTACTCATTTTTGTTAATTAATTATGTGTTTATTATATAATTTTGAATGCTACTGTTAAAAGTACCTTCAATTTTCTGTCTCTGAGAAGTTATTGTTAATATTAATCAACACTATTAATTCTGAATAGTAACCTCATAGATGGCCAAATGACTGTGCTCTGCTATTTGTTTTCAATTGCTCATAATAAAAAAAAAATCTATTTCTGTGAAAACAGTTAAAACATACAGATTTTTATTTTAGTTTCTAAATAATCTCTAAAAAGTGAATAATTTTCCATTCAACCAAGTGGATATACTTTAAGGTTAACTTAATGTGCAAGTGGTTATGTATTTTAAAATATTCTATTGTTATTTTAAAATTTCATTTTACCGTGGTAATGCCAACTTTATTAATGATAGACAAGAAATTTTTCAACATGATGTGTAAACCACTTTGCTGTTTGTTCGCTCATTTGTTTATTTTCAATTCTCATGCTCACTTTAAGTTTTAAAAGTCTTTCTGAAATGTATCTTATAATACAAGCACAGTGGAGGATCCCTTTATATCTCTCCACTGAGAAATAAAATCGTGAATAGGGCTCTTTCACCTATTCTCTGGTGTCTTATAAAAATACATGTGCTTTACTCCTTGTTTTTCACTGTTACATTTCAAATTAAACTCCTTATTATACAAAGAGCAGATTCACCCTGTGTGTTCCCACTGACATACACATCTCATGCTCCTCTTCCAGGCTGCCTTCTAGGAAGTCAATGGACTAACCAAGTGACCTTCTTCTGTCTTACTTCAACTATCACAACTATATCCGCTTTCTTTCTTCATGCCAAAAATGAACATTTGCCCTAAATAATTTCATGAATTTAAATAAATACAAGTGAATTTCCTATGAAATCATTACTTTTTTCCCACTATTCTAATTCTGCAAAACAGTTAATAAAAGTTCAATGTAATTATAAAATGCAGTGCTCTGTGTTTCTGTATAAACCAATTAGCAAAATCATAGGATTAAAGAAAATGTGCACTGAATTCAAATGTATTGTCTGCATTAATTTTCCTTGAGCAATTAACTCTATGTGCCTTGAATGTAGAAGGAGAAAATAATTGATAAAATGAGTAGTAAATATATATATGTATTTCTGTTTATATACCTATTTTATACATTAATAAATCTAAATGTAACACTAATAACAACATTTTGGTATTGTTTATGCATTAGTGGTTGAGCCATATCCTAAGCTGAATTTTGTTCTTTCTATACACTTGTAGATTGTTTTACAATGAAAATGTTATTCACACTTATCCCATAGATCCTAATAACAAGTCAAAGACAGCAACTTACTTAATATCAAAAGAATGTTAAAACTGAAATTGTATCATAATGTGGTACAAAGAGTTAGGAGAATGGTTAAAAAATAGTTATAGGGAATGAATTAAAATAAGAAGTTAAAAGTCAGAGGTGCCTTTATGTTTTGTTTAATTTTAACAAAAATATGAAACTGTTATGGAAAGATTCTGCTATGATGAGTACCATCTGGTCTTATTTTGTTATATAACAATTTGCATAAAATCTATTAAGTTTGCTGTATTGCATGCTTCAGGAATTTAATAACCCAGAATTATGGATGATATACAGTACTTGGCAACAAATGTTAATAAACAGATATTGTATTTCCAGCTAGAAATGCATATAGAAACTAATATGTAATTTTAGGCAAAATGAAACTATGGCAAATTGTTTTTATTATTTTTAGTAATTAATTTGCTCTAATTAAGAAGGTGAGATTTGTATTTCTGTGGTTCTAATTCTTTAGAGTACTAAAGAAAATGAAATTTCATCGTTAACTTGGTAGCTTTTAAAGTGGATCATATAATTCTTCTTAGTCTCTCTTATTCTCTCACTCACTTTCTCTTCTTTAAAACATAATGAATCCACATGAAATTCTCTATTAAATGTAAAAATAAAAGCGATTGCTAAAAAAGAAATTATATATGCAAAGTATCTACAGTGCCTTGTGTATATATAACAAAGTAGCAATCCCTTTTCATTCTGTTAGAAAGTTATTATTCTCTCTCTCTGAAATCTGAATTATTTCTAGATTTGGCCTCTTCTGAAGTAAAGAATACTGAAAACATATTTTCAGTGATTTTTTTCTTTTTTTTTTTTTTTTTTTTTTTTTTTTGACAGTGTCTAGCTCTGTCACCCAGGCTGGAGTGCAGTATTGTGATCTTGGCTCACTTCAACTTCCGCCTCCCCGGTTCAAACGATTCTCCTGCTTCAGCCTCCTGAGGAGCTGGGACTACAGGTGTGCGCCACCCCGCCTAGCTAATTTTTGTATTTTTAGTAGAGACGGGGCTTCACCATGGTCACCAGGCTGGTCTCGAACTCCTGACCTCAACAATTCACCCATCTCAGTCTCCCAAAATGCTGGGATTACAGGTGTGAGCCACCTCACCTGCTCATCACAGTGATCTTTTAACATAATACCTACACATCAGATACATGCATGCTTTTTTCATATCCTGCTAAAGGCAACGTTATTAAACAATGCCAATGTATTCAGCCTTTTTATGAGATCCTCTACCTATAAATTGCAAAGTTCTCTAAAATCTGTGTGTGTCTACTATCAAGATGGTAGTAAGTACTTAAAAACATAGGCTTTCTATTCGTAGATCCTTATACCCAAATCTGCATTTCACCTCAAGTTACTTGAGGGAACTGAGCCAAAGTTTCTTTCTAATTGTAAATTTTTTTACAATATGAAAACCTAATAGAAATTACTATACATGGTTAATGTGTAGATTAAGTGGAATGGGAAATATGTAGCTATGCTTGGCCCAGAGAAATAACACAAACAATACTAGCATTTTTAAAGCTATTCATTTTTGTTTCTGTTCAAAACCATGAAGTATTCTATCTTTATAAACTATAACTTGTGGAACCAAACAAATAGAAATATTTGTAATATTCCTAAGACATATAACAATTTTATACCATTAGAATACTTGACCAAACAATGGTATAGTGAGAGGGTGTGTATGTATAAGTGTGTGTGTGTTTGTACATATGCTCTCCTTTGCGTCTGTCATACCCATTCACAATAAATAAAGATACATTACGGAACAACAATAGTGTTTTTCGTATATTTTTCTGATTTTGAATCAAGCAAATCTTATTATTTCAACCATTTATCTTTACTAGAATTCTTATTTTTGGAAAGTGTAAAATAATTTTGCTTTTGTTTTTAAGGTTTTCTCTTAATTCTTCATGTTTTATTCACTTTGGAACAGAAATTGAGACAAATAGCCTCAACCAGCTAGTCAGCCAGCCAATCAACAACTCTATATTGAGTATCTGTTATGTGTCAGACACAGATGACAAGTCTTCAAGAAACAGTAATGAAACAGTCATGGTTTCTACCTTCAAGAACATCTAAATTTAATCAAATATGGAAAAGTAAAGACATAAGTACAGTGCAATAATATGACATTCATATAAAAACTATGTAAAAGACATCAAGAGAACACAGAGTAAGTGACTTTAATTACTGATTTAATAGAGATGTGGTAGTCAATATAGTCTTTGAAGTATGAACAGGAATTCACATGGTAGAGAAAAATATGTTGTCCTTTTGAATAACAACAAAAACAATAGCTCTGGCAGGATTAGAAACAGGATGATTCCCAAGTGGTGAGAAATTCTAATATATATACATTAGGGTTTTTTTTCAAAATAGTAATATATTACTCCAGTATTAGTCAGTATAGTGTTCTTTAGAATGTTTACTTTTAGAAAAAATAAATTGAGAATAGTAAACTGTATGCAATATACATTTTATAATATATAAAAAACTACTAAATATTGAGTATCCTCATAGGATATTTGACAAGTGTTGCTACTGTTTCCCTAATTTACATATGAACATTCTATAGTATATGAGAGTATTTTGCCTGTGATTATGTAACCGATAAATGGATACAGTTGTATTCAAATTAACATGTGGATTACTAAAACACATGCATTTTCCCTCTACAATATACTACTTCCAGATCTTCTTATTTAAAATTCTTTGATTTCAGTTCATTTTATTTTCAGAGAGTAACTAACTTGATGGATTGGGCAGGACTATTTATCTATATCACATTCCATTCACTCACAACACATGTATTGGGTGTCTATTGTCAGTGGCATTCCCTACTTGTGAGCGATATTGCCGAAAACTAGGCCACTCCTTCCTTTGTAAGATAGGTTAGTACACAGGTAATTACAATGTGTAATCTGTACAAATGACTGTATCCTGCCTGTAATATAATTAGTCACATTTCCCCTATATCTCTAAATTAAGCTTCAAGTGTTGAAACCCACTGTCAGATCAAAAATTCCACTGAAGAAAGTGAAACATGCAAGAAAGTCTTTATTCAAGACTATTGCAATGGGAGAAGGGAACATAACTCACTTTGAAATTAATCCACTGAAATGTAAAGCATGAGGATTTTTAAGTGCTAGTGTGAGTTATGGAAAACATATCCCAGAACTTTAGGGAGAGGTAGATCAATGGGATATGTTAGACCTATTCACTTTTTTTGGTTTGCAAATGTTTTTCTCTGTGATTAGGCCTTTTGTATTTGCCAGTAGGTACCCATTAAAGTTACACTTCTACCCTCCTGCAGACAGGGGAACTATTTTTTTTTTTTTTTTTTTTGATGACTGCATTTCAAAAGGATGACTTCCAGCTTCTTTAAAAATTATTCTTGGGTAGTAAAACTGGCAAGAGGTTTTTAAAAGATTTACATCTCCAAGGGGCAGAGAAAAAATTTACATATTTTCTAAAGTAAATGCTCTAAGAAATGGAAGGTCAGGGCAGAAAGTCAGGAAAAAACCTGTCTAAATTTTAGTCAAGCTGAGAAAACATTAAGCCCTTCTTGGTCACAAACTATGTTAACTTGTCAGTAGGTACATTTCCAACATGCTTTTTCTTTCATGCTATCTCCCTTGTGTGACTTAAGACCCTTGGGTACCTAAACCAAGCTCTGAACACTCGTGTGTAGAAAAGTCTTGTTTAATGAATTTTATTTAGACTATAAATCATTGACCCATACAGTATATAAAATAAATACAGGGCACATTTTCAATTTGAGAAATTCCATATATATTAATATTTCTGGGGTTTTTTTTTGCTGCCCTTGAAAATTGGGAAATCTGGTTACAGTAGGCATTTGTATTTGTAACTCCTGTCTTATATAATCTAATGAAAAGTCATCCAATGACTCCGTAAGCAAGTTGTGGAGAACCCTGGTGACTACTAGTCCATTGCTGCCATTTCTGATATTGATCCCCTCCATCATGTGGTATAGCTGTTGCATATGAGCTAGATGCCTTTAAGTGTTCTTTGGCTTCCTCTATACCCACAACAGTGTGGTTGTGCAATAAAAAAATCCATTGATAATGTTTCACACTTCTATTAGCCACAGTGAATACATCTTTTCCAAGTAGGCTTACCTGTAATCAAGACTTAGTGTATTTTTATTATAGATAACTATATTTCAAAGTATATTTTAAGAGCCTTGTATATAAGAGGATATGATATACACCAGATCAGGTTCTTACTTGAAAGAGGTTCTTTTTTTTTTTTTGATTATTACATCTCTTTATTATAGTAAACAAATAAAAATTGTATATATTTACAATGTATAATGTGACTTTTTGATATACGTATACATTGTGAAATTGTTAATCAAGCTAATTAATGTGTCTAGCACCTCATACATCATTTTTTGTGGTGAGAATAATTCAGTCTACTCTTCAAACCATTTAGAGAACACATTTAACTGATGCAGCTTTAGTTTCTTTTTTATTATACTTTAAGTTCTAGGGTACATGTGCACAACGTGCAGGTTTGTTACGTACATATACATGTGCCATGTTGGTGTGCTGCACCCCTTACCTCATCATTTACATTAGGTATATCTCCTGATGCTATCCCTCCCCACTCCCCCAACCCACGACAGGCCCCGGTGTGTGATATTCCCCTTCCTGTGTCCAAGTGTTCTCATTGTTCAATTCCCACCTATGGGTGAGAACATGCGGTGTTTGGTTTTTTGTCTTTGTGATAGTTTGCTCAGAATGATGGTTTCCAGCTTCATCTATGTCCCTACAAAGGACATGAACTCATCCTTTTTTATGGCTGCATAGTATTCCATAGTGGACATGTGCCACATTTTCTTAATCCAGTCTACCATTGATGGACATTTGGGTTGGTTCCAAGTCTTTGTTATTGTGAATAGTGTCGCAATAAACATACGTGTGCATGTGTCTTTATAGCAGCATGATTTATAATCCTTTGGGTATATACCCAGTAATGGGATGGCTGGGTCAAATGGTATTTCTAGTTCTAGGTCCTTGAGGAATTGCCACACTGTCTTCCAAAATGGTTGAACTAGTTTACAGTCCCACCAACAGTGTAAAAGTGTTCCTATTTCTCCAAATCCTCTCCAGCACCTGTTGTTTCCTGACTTTTTAATGATCACCATTCTAACTGGTGTGAGATGGTATCTCATTGTGGTTTTCATTTGCATTTCTCTGATGGCCAGTGATGAAGAGCATTTTTTCATGTGTCTGTTGGTTGCATAAATGTCTTCTTTTGAGAAGTGTCTGTTCATAACCTTCGCCCACTTTTTGATGGGGTTGTTTGTTTTTTTCTTGTAAGTTTGTTTGAGTTCTTTATAGATTCTGGATATTAGCCCTTTGTCAGATGAGTAGGTTGCAAAAATTTTCTCCCATTCTGTAGGTTGCCTGTTCACTCTGATGGTAGTTTCTTTTGCTGTGCAGAAGCTCTTCAGTTTAATTAGATGACATTGGTCAATTTTGGCTTTTGTTGCCATTGCTTTTGGTGTTTTAGACATGAAGTCCTTGCCCATGCCTTTGTACTGAATGGTATTACCTAGATTTTCTTCTAGGGTTTTTATGGTTTTAGGTCTAACATTTAAGTCTTTAATCCATCTTGAATTAATTTTTGTATAAGGTGTAAGGAATGGATCCATTTTCAGCTTTCTACATATGGCTAGCCAGTTTTCCCCCCACAATTTATTAAACAGGGAATCTTTTCCCCATTTCTTGTTTTTTTCAGGTTTGTCAAAGATCAGATGGTTGTAGACGTGTGGTATTATTTCTGAGGGCTCTGTTCTGTTCCATTGGTCTATATCTCTGTTTTGGTACCAGTACATGATATTTTGGTTACTGAAGCCTTGTAGTATAGTTTGAAATCAGGTAGCATGCTGCCTCCAGCTTTTTTCTTTTGGCTTAGGATTGACTTGGCAATGCGGGCTCTTTTTTGGTTCCATATGAACTTTAAAGTAGTTTTTTCCAATTCTGTGAAGAAAGCCATTGGTAGCTTGATGGGGATGGCATTGAATCTATAAATTACTAGAGAACGCCACAAAGATACTCCTTGAGAAGAGCAACTCCAAGACACATAATTGTCAGATTCACCAAAGTTGAAATGAAGGAAAAAATGTTAAGGGCAGCCGGAGAGAAAGGTCAGGTTACCCACAAAGGGAAGCCCATCAGACAAACAGTGGATCTCTCAGCAGAAACTCTACAAGCCAGAAGAGAGTGGGGGCCAATATTCAACGTTCTTAAATAAAAGAATTTTTCAACCCAGAATTTCATATCCAGCCAAACTAAGCTTCAGAAGTGAAAGAGAAATAAAATACTTTACAGACAAGCAAATGCTGAGAGATTTTGTCACCACCAGGCCTGCCCTAAAAGAGCTCCTGAAGGAAGCACTAAACATGGAAAGGAACAACCGGTACCAGCCACTGCGAAAACATGACAAATTGTAAAGACCATCTGTGCTCAGAAGAAACTGCATCAACTAACGAGCAAAATTACCAGCTAACATCATAATGACAGGATCAAATTCACACATAACAATGTTAACCTTAAATGTAAATCAGCTAAATGCTCCAGACACAGACTGGCAAATTGGATAAAGAGCCAAGACCCATCAGTGTGCTGTATTCAGGAGACCCATCTCACATGCAGAGACACAAATAGGCTCAAAATAAAGGGATGGAGGAAGATCTACCAAGCAAATGGAAAACTAAAAAAGGCAGGGGTTGCAATCCTAGTCTCTGATATAACAGACTTTAAACCAGCAAAGATCAAAGGGGACAAAGAAGGCCATTACATAATGGTAAAGGGATCCATTCAACAAGAAGAGCTAACTATCCTAAATATATATGCACCCAATACAGGAGTACCCAGATTCATAAAGCAAGTCCTTAGAGACCTACAAAGAGACTTAGACTCCCACAAAATAATAATGGGAGACTTTAACACCCCACTGTCAACAGTAGACAGATCACAAGACACAAAGTTAACAAGGATATCCAGGAATTGAACTCAGCTCTGCACCAGGCAGACCTAATAGATATCTACAGAACTCCCCACCTCAAATCAACAGAATATACATTCTTCTCAGCACCACATCGCACCATTCCAAAATTGACCACATAGTTGGAAGTAAAGCACTCCTCAGCAAATGTAAAAGAACAGAAATTATAACAAACTGTCTCTCAGACCACAGTGCAGTCAAACTAGAACTCAGGATTAAGAAACTCAGTCAAAACCACTCAACTACATGGCAACTGAACAACCTGCTCCTGAATGACTACTGGGCACATAATGAAATGAAGGCAGAAATAAAGATGTTCTTTGAAATCAATGAGAACAAAGACACAACATACCAGAATCTCTGGGACACATTTAAAGCAGTGTGTAGAGGGAAATTTATAGCACTAAATGCCCACAAGAGAAACCAGGAAAGATCTAAAATTGACACACTAACATCAAAAGTAAAAGAACTAGAGAAGCAAGAGCAAACACATTCAAAAGCTAGCAGAAGGCAAGAAACAACTAAGATCAGAGCAGAACTGAAGGAGATAGACACACAAAAAACCCCTTCAAAAAATCAATGAATCCAGGAGCTGGTTTTTTGAAAAGATCAAGAAAATTAATAAACCACTAGCAAGACCAATAAAGAAGAAAAGAGAGAAGAATCAAATGGATGCAATGAAAAATGATAAAAGGGGATATCACCACTGATCCCACAGAAATACAAACTACCATCAGAGAATACTATAAACACCTCTAGGCAAATAAACTAGAAAATCTGGAAGAAATGGATAAATTCCTGGAAACATACACCCTCCCAAGATTAAACCAGGAAGAAGTTGAATCCCTGAAGAGACCAATAACAGACTCTGAAATTGAGGTAATAATTAATAGCCTACCAACCAAAAAAGTCCAGGACCAGACAGATTCACAGATGAATTCTACCAGAGGTACAAAGAGGAACTGGTACCATTCCTTCTGAAACTATTCCAATCAATAGAAAAAGAGGCAATCCTCCCTAACTCATTTTGTGAGGCCAGCATCATCCTGATACCAAAGCCTGGCAGAGACACACACAAAGAAAAGAGTATTTTAGATCAGTATCTGTGATGAACATAGATGCGAAAATCCTCAGTAAAATACTGGCAAACCGAATCCAGCAGCACATCAAAAAGCTTATCCACCATGATCAAGTGGGCTTCATCCCTGGGATGCAAGGCTGGTTCAACATACGCAAATCAATAAACATAATTTAGCATATAAACAGAACCAAAGACAAAAACCACATGATTATCTCAATAGATGCAGAAAAGGACTTTGAGAAAATTCAACAGCCCTTCATGCTAAAAACTCTCAATAAATTAGGTATTGATGGGACATATCTCAAAATAATAAGAGCTATTTATGACAAACCCACAGCCAATATCATACTGAATGGGTAAAAACTGGAAGCATTCCCTTTGAAAACTGGCACAAGACAGGGATGCCCTCTCTCACCACTCCTATTCAACGTAGTGTTGGAAGTTCTGGCCAGGGCAATCAGGCAGGAGAAAGAAATAAAAGGTATTCAATTAGGAAAAGAGGAAGTCAAATTGTCCCTGTTTGCAGATGACTAGATTGTATGTTTAGAAAACCCCCTGGTCTCAGCCCAAAACCTCCTTAAGCTGATAAGCAACTTCAGCAAATCTCAGGATACAAAATCAATGTGCAAAAATCACAAGCATTCTTATACACCAATAACAGACAAACAGAGAGTCAAATCATGAATGAACTCCCTTTCACAATTGCTTCAAAGTGAATAAAATACCTAGGAATCCAACTTACAAGGGATGTGAAGGACTTCTTCAGGGAGAACTACAAACCACTGCTCAATGAAGTAAAAGAGGACACAAACACATGCCCATGGATAGGAAGAATCAATATCGTGAAAGAGGTTCTTCTAGTTGAAAAACTGTTGAATAATGAACCAGTTTTATTTTATTTTAAAACAGGATCTCACTGCCCAGGCTGGAGTGCAGTGACACAATCACAGCTCTCTGCAGCCTCAACTTCCCAGGCTCAGGTGTTCCTCCCACTTCAGCCTCCCAAGTAGCTGGACCTACAGGCGCACACCATCATTCCAGGCTAAATAGAGATGAGGTCTCACTATGTTGCCCAGGTTGATCTCAAACTCCTTGGCTCAAGCAATCCCCTCTCCTTGGCCTTCTAAAGTGTTGAGATCACAGGCATGAGCCCCTCCTAAAGTGTTGAGATTGTAGGCATGAGCCACCATACTCAGCCATGGGCCGTTTTTTTTTTTTTTTTTCTATTTTAAGACAAGATCTTGCTCTGTTACCCCAGGTGGAGGGCAGTGGCAAAATGCAGCCTCATCCTCTTGAAATCAAGACATCCTCCTGCGTCAGCCTCCCAAATAGCTGAGATTACAGACATGCGCCACAACACACAGCCAACTTTTTATTTTTTATAAAGATGAGGTCCCACTACGTTGCCTAAGCTCTTCTTCAACTCCTGGGTTCAAGCTATCTGCCCATCTCCACCTCTCAAAGTGCTGGGATTACAAGAGTGAGCCACTATGCCCTGCTGTGTTTTAAATGGCACCATAATATGAAAGAGCTCCTCACATATTATTTTTTATATAATAATTTATGCCATGACTTACATGAAGACAAAAAGTTTGATTTTACAACCTTGGCAGAAGCTTTCAAGTTGTTTGGGATAACTAACTTGCATTATTTATATGATTGCATTGGATTAGACCTCTTTGTTAGCATCTACAGCAAGACAAGTTAATAGCTTCCAAGTTGTTTGAGATAACTAATTTGACTTATTTATATGGTTACATTTGATTAGACCTCTTTGTTAGCATCTACAGCAAGAAAAGTTAATAGAAACAATTGTAACATAATTTGTGGCCAGTAAGCAGTCCACATGAACAAAAAATCTTGGAATTTTAGTTAATCTACTATGAGGTTTTGCTTCCTGAAATAGCTGATCAAACTTATTTACATTATTACCTGATAGTATTCAGAACTGATGATAAAAACAAGCAATTATTCTCTAGTGTTAGTGAAATTATTTCAGTGGTATTAAGGTAAGTCTGGAGGCAATCTATTATAAATGGGATCAATAGTTTACAGTATCCTGGAGTTATATATGATTATTAAATAGATCAATAAATAAATTAATGCAGAGACATAGTTATAAAAAGTCTGGAAAATTTATGATTCAAGAAAAACATTAGCTGATAAGCTTATTCCTGTAGAAAATATGTCTGTATTTTTAAATACATTGTCCTTAAAATAAATTAAGTGTTCTCTAGAAAATATTATTTTACGTTTAACCCTATGTTGGAGTCACAAAATAATAAAAGTAAAACAAATATGCCATTATGCTGGGATAAATTGATTTGTGATCTATTACAAAGAAAATTTAAATCTTAATACAGCCCACTAAATTAAGCTGAGAATTCTATGATTCAAAATCACATAGATAATTCTAAATATAAATAATTTATTAGAGTGTTCATATATAGGCCAAAATTCTTTCACAGTGTATATAGTAGCCATTTTTAAAGCTGTGTATGGAGAAATCAATAAAAATAAGATTCAGAAAGTTTTTGTAGTTTAATTTTAACCCAGTGCTTATAAGACTTAGCCTAATAAAATTGAGAAGACAAGAAAAATTAAGTTTGTGAAATTGATTCTTAAAGAGCAGAGATTTTCTGGAGCTCAGCAGGTATGTGATATTTTCATAGCTAGAAATATGATTCAAAGAATAAAAATGTTTTCAACATGAAAGTGGGTATTATAATTGTCTAAAAATTCAGGATTTAAATATTATTCTAAAGTTATCCTTTTTAAAGTGATATTACAATTTTGTATTTATGTGTGTGTGTTCATGTGTTTTCACACAAAATGTGACATACAAAGGCTATCCAGAAGTTAATTTAAATTAAGTAGCACCGAGAAACGAAACTCCAAACCAGGATCACAATCATACTGACTCTGTGGTGGGGTATGAAATAAGGGACAATTAAAAAATAAGCTTTTCTATTCACTGTCATTTCTGTGCTCACTGTGTAAATCAATCAAATGGGAATCCTTGTCTTCAAAGGTTAAAATATGGGTGTAGCAAGTTTGTAGAAAATCTACTAAAACGTCTATGGTCATTATCAATCTTAATTCTTCAAAATGCAAATGACAGAAAACTCATATTGACTTAGGATAAAAAGAATGTATTGGATTAAATAATTGAAATGTCCCAATATGGCTACAGTTGGATATTCAAAGGATTTAAGAAAAACATGTGCTTATCTCTATATCTTAGCTTTGATTTCTATTGTGCTTTCTAAATTCGGACTGAGTCTTCCACACCATGCAAGCTGATCTCGAGTAGCCTTAAGCTCAATGTCTATGATCTTGACAATATCAGTAGAAGCAGATTGCTTATATTTACAACAGTTCCAACAACAACTCTGAACTCTCATTGACCTAGGGTTGCATACTCATCTCCATTAGACTAGATAAGGTTTGCTGCAGTCGTAAACACTCACCAAGCTTATTGTAGTTTAACACGAGAAAGTTTTATTTGTTGCTCAAGTCATGTCTGATGCAGTCATGCCGTCTTCAACTTACGACTCATGCCCTTAAATGTCTCCACAGCAGAGAAGAGAGAGGAACTACAGGAAAAGCACTATTTACTGGCTTGAAAAGGTTTCAATCAACGGACCCACCTGAACACAGGAGATATGGCTAAATATACCTTCATGTGTGCCAAGAAAGAGGAAAAGGAACAGGACTTGTTCCTGCCATGCCTTACTTTCCCAATCACTTTTCACTGAGGTTTGGTACGCGAGTGAACCAGACTAGGGTAACATATTCGCTCCTAATGTGGGCGGAGGTAGGAGGGTCAACACCAATGGCATTACAGGGGGCGTGGTGGTGGGGAGAATTCTCAAAATAACACAGAGTAGCTTTTGTAGATCAATGAGGGAATTGAGGCAGAAACACTAGATAGACTGACAAGCAAACTGCTCAGATATATAAAAGTTGTCTAGAGAAATGTTACCTTCTTATTTTTATCAAATAGTAATCCAGTTTGTCACATTTTAGTTGCTGTGTTTTTTTCATTATCTCATCTTCCCCAACCAAATATTGATAATAAAGTTGATGGCTAAATAACTGAAATATTATTATAAAAATGTCCTGATGCCATACTTAATGATGCTGTATTTCAGTAGGTATAATAAAAATGAATTTTCACTAAGGAGTACTATTTATTTTCAAGAAAGACACACTCTATGTGTATATTTGATAGATTACTATAAACTACAAGTCATTTTTGGAGTTAAGAAAGAAATAAGTGTAGCTGGTCATGGTGGCGGGTGCCTGTCTTCCCAGCTACTGGAGAGGCTGAGGCAGGAGAATCACTGGAACCCAGAAAATGGAGGTTGCAGTGAGCCGAGATCGTGCCACTGCACTGCACTGCCCTCCAGCCTGGGCTACAGAAGGAGACTCCATCTCAACAAAAAAAAAAAAAAAAAAAAAAAAAAAAAAAAAAAAAAAGAAAGAAATAAGAGGTATCTGAGTTACTAATACATATTCAAATTTGTGAAGATATCTTTAGATATTTTCCAGAATAATATATTCCTAGAATTTTAAAGTTAAAAATAATGCATCTCATCTGATCCAACAGGAATCTTATGTGTGAATGCCTTGTCTCTGACTGCATGCCACATGTATTGAATATTGGGTTACCGCAGTCTTTTTTATATTTAGATTCAATCCATATACCAAAATATTAATAGCTACCACATTTATTCATACGACTATTACCAGAGTTTAATGAAAATTGAGTTTCATCCAAAAGTTCTAATGAAATGAATAGAATGTTCCATTGACACCTAACAAATGTGTTGTGCAGACAGAAATCAGAAGTTCTGAATAGTCTCATATGCAAAGCTAACATCACTGTTTTATTTCTGTCAGGTCTATTATCTTGCCATTTTATTTTTTAGGTACTACGTTTAATTGATCTGCTGTCTCAAACAGGGAAAATTTCATCTTAATGCATTACGCAAATTAATTGCTAATCCATCATAGTCTCATTTAGTTCTTTAAAATACTATACAACAGGCTTATATTAAAAGCATGCCCAGCTACATTCAGATTGGATGTGCCTGATGTTATCACTTTTCCCCTGCCTCTAAAGAATTCTATATAGAAATGGGCTATCTGGGATCCTGGAAAGGCAGAGATTGTTCAGGGTCACCTGGGAAGGGATCCCATTGCCTTTGCTGAGAGGATATGGCCTCGCTGATGCTGTGCTGCTGCAGATATAGAAAAACATTAATATGTATAATATTTACTTAAGAGAGTTGCAGAGATTAGTAGTGTAAATCTTTGAAGAAGATGCTGCAACCTGGAGTATGAAAAGATTGTGGAAAGACAAGAATGTGGCAGTGTTTCCAACTCTGACAAGACATTACCCGTATGAAGAGTGTCCCCAGATAGAAACGGGAGGACAGAAAAAGTCACTCTAATTTATATCCCATTTACTTGTGCTCTGTACAGCCATTACTACATCTTTGGTTTTAAAAAATTAGGAATAAATGTGTTTTTACTGTCTTTCCCCACCAATCCATATTCTATTTGAAAATTGTCAAAGGATATTCTTTGAATTTTCATTTCTTTTAAAGCTTACTCCTGTAAGGTAGTAAACTTAATACCCTTTCTTGCCTTGTCTGAAAACTCATAGTGACCTCATCAGAGCTTACTGAGCCTCTAAATCTAACTTTACATTCACCAAAAACTTAGGCAATGGAGGAATATGTTAGATGACATCATGAGAATGAAATAATACAATTTCAGAAAGTGAGAAATTCTAAAGAATAAATGAGCCCATTTAAACAGTGAATGAATAAATAAAAGGCATGAACCAGACTAAATGAAGAAGAGGCTGTAATAAAGTAAATGATGGACCCCATTTGGATCTGGATTATATAAAAATGTATTTTTAATATTTCAAAAAGATGAGCATGGACTGTTATTACAGAATATGAATGGACTATGTTTAATCTTTTAGGTTTGATGATGATACTATTATAGTGAAATCCTTATCTATTTGTGATATATAGTAATGTATTTATTGAGAAAAAAGTGTTTCAATGACGTTCATCGTTTTATGATAATGTCATTCCTCAGTGACAAAAGCCATGTGAAGTATACTTAACTGAGAAAAAGTACAATTATTCTTGATTATATCAGACAATGTCACCACTGTGGCAATCAGAAGTGTTTGACAGGTTCAGTTACATGCATCAGTTCTTGCTACGTTTCATGTATATGAATAAAATATGTAAATATATATATGTAGGTGTATGGACACACATGCCTACAGAGACATACATATTTATTACTTAAGTTCATTCCTTTTCATTTTGACTATTTCTTGAACATTGAAAAGAAACAGAAATTATTTGAATTGGCTACCTAAGAAATGCTGCTACAAAGTCTACAGAAAGAAAACTGCACTTTAAAGTTTTGTCCCTGCTTAGAAAATTTTAATCCTATAAGGCTTGGGAGGATGTAGGCCACATTAGAAAAGCACAAAGAAAGAAAAGAAAGTGGAATTTTTGCAACTTCTAAGATTTTTCCAAATTTTAATAGCAAGATGCATAAATCATATTGGAGGTCTATTTTTAATGCAATTATTTACATATTAATACCATTAAAATCCTTGAACATTTGTAAATAAATAACTAACATATTTGATACTTTAATATGAAGTTCAAAAAACACCCGGTATGTAGGTACTTTTAAAACTCTAAAAAAGCTTTAAATAAATGTTTAGACATTATGGCAAGACTGTACCAAATGCTATGATTAATGTTACTAAACACTTTCTATTACAAACTTCTGTTTTCAGAACCTGACATTATTCTGAAAAAGTCTTGGTTTGCACGAAAGTGTCGCATGTTTTGCCTTTTTCCAAGGTGATTTTTTTCTCACACGTGGGAGGAAAATCTGTTCCTCTTTTCCAACAAGTGAGAATGGGGAAAAATATAATTTTTCATTGTAAAAATAATTTTCTACCTATTTTTATTTAAAGTAGTTCAAATGGCATGCTTATATAACTATTATAAATAATTTTGCACTTTTCATTTTGATTCTAAAAATTATACATAATCATTGTAAAACTATTTAGAAACAGAGAAGCATTTACAGAAATACAAAAACCCACACATAGAAATCAGCATATTTCGTATTTTTTCCAGTTCTTTTCAATCTTTAAAGATGAATACATATATACTGAATATTTTGAGTATTGGAATACATAAATATATAGCAACAAGACATGTTTTAAAATATTCTAAATTGTAAGTTTTAATGGCTCCATAATAATTTGTTAAAATATGAGCTATAATTGTTTAATCAATAATCAATAGTGGAACAAGTATTTTGTTTCCAATTTCCTATTATAAAAATTAAAATATATCATTATCTGCACCTATATTTGTAAGACTCAATGTTTTTGCAGAAACCTTTTTGAATTGAAAGACTGCTAACTGCCAACTGATATATATTCTCTTATTTATTGATAATAAAACTAGTTTATTTTTCCCATCCTCCTTTACAATTAGGAATGGCCATGTGGTTAATTTATATTCGATCACCGGTTAGAGGAATCGATGGGTACCCCTTCCAGATCTTGTTCATAAATTCTCACATGTATGATACTCCATGTTCTTTGTCCATCTTGAATGACTGGCCTGGTAACAACCAAAGTGACCTTGGAGACATCTGTTGAATTTCATAGCTGCTGTGGGCTTAGCTTTTGGATGACAAGGCAGAAGAGTATTCTGCTGGCCGATATACCTGCCCAGAACATTTACTTAAGAAAAAACCCTCTTGCTTTTTAAGCTACTAAATTTTGGGGTATCTTTTTTGAATTACATATTTTAACTACTTTATTATGATAGGATAGACATTTTAAAAGCTGTGGTACTTAATATCCCCATCTCATTGAGTTTTGGGATAAGAATGTGTCCATGAAACCATCACCGCCATCAAGGTCATAAACATATCTATCTCCTTGAAAAATTTCTCTCATCCTCTTTATTACTATTGTTTGTTTTCTTTTGTTTCACTTTGTTTCTTTTTTTTTCTTATTTTTTAACAGATCACTTAATATAAGATCTACTATCTTAGCAAATTTGAAATAAACAACACAGTATTGTTAGTGATAGGCACTATGTTCTATAGATTCCCAGAATTTATTCATCTTGCATAACTGAAGCTTCACACTCTTTAACCACTACCTCCCCATTTTCTCTACCTCAGCCCCTTAAAACCAGCATACTACAATCTGCTTCTGAGTTTGATTCCTCAAGATTCCATACCTAAGTGAGTTAATGTGGAATGTATTTTTGTATGTCTGGCTTATTTTGTTTAAGATAATCCATATTATCTGAAAAGGCAAAGTTTTCTGTTTTTAAGGCTGAGTAATATGCTATTGTATGTATTTATCACAATTTCCTTATCCATTCATCCATCTATGGACTTTTATTTTGTTTCCATACCTTTGCTATTATGAATAATGCTGCAATGAACATCTAAGGGCAGACATCTCTTCAAGATCCTGATTTCTATGCCCAGAAATGGAATTTCTGGATTATATGGTAATACTATCTTTTAAGTTTTAAGGAATCTCCTTATGCTTTTCTGTAATGTCTATATCAATTTTCCAATATTGTACAAGAATCCCTTTTCTCCATATCTTTGCCAATACTTCTTGTCTTTTTTTTTTTTAATAATAGGCATTCTAACGGGTGTGAGGTGATAGCTCATTGTGGTTTTGATTTGCATTTTCCCGATGATTAGTGATGTTGAGCACATATGCCTGTTGGCCATTTGTATGTCTTCTTTGGAAAAATGTCTTTTTGGATACTTCGCCCATTTACTAACAGGTTTATTGGTGGATTTTTGCTATTTAGTTGTATAATTTCATTGTATATTTTGGATACTAACCCTCACCACATATATGATTTGAAAATATTTTCTATTGTTTACTAGGTTGCCATTTCATTTTGTTAAAAACTTTCTGTGTAGAAAGTTTTTACTCTGATTTAATCTCACTTGTTTACTTTTGCTTTTGTTGCCTGTTCTTTTTGTGATATTTAAAAAAAAATCATTGCCAAGACCAATGTCAAGGTGCTTCTTGCCTGTTTTCTTTGAAGAGTATTATTGCTTCAAGTCTCATATATATAAGTCTTTAACCGATTTTAGTTGATTTTTGTGTATAACATAAGTGTTATTTTATTTGTTTGTATGCAGATATTCAGTTTTCTCAACACCCTTTATTAAAGAGACTATCCATTACCCATTATATATTTTTGTCATTCTTGTCTTAATTAGTTGGCTGTATATACATGTATTTATCTCTGGACTCTCTGTTCTATTCTATTGGTCTAATTTCCTGTTTTATTCAGTACTATATAGTTTTTGATTAGTATAGCTTTGTAATATAATTTGATTTCAGTAAGTATGATGCCTCCAGCTTTGCTCTTCTTGCTCAAAATTGGTTTGGCTATTCTGCATTTTTGGTGGTTCCTTCCATATAAATGTTTCTATTTCTCTGAAAAATGCAATTTGAATTTTTATAGGATTGCATGGATTATGTAGCTTACTTTAAGTAGTATGGACATTTTAACAACAAAGAAACACAAAATGTCACAAGAGACTGCTCAGAAAAATTATATGCCAATAAATTGAATAATTTAGAAATATTGATTAATTTCTAGGAACATACAGCCTACCAAGATTGAATCACGAAAAATTAGAAAATCTAAACAGACTAGTAATGAGTAAGAAGATTATATAAGTAATCAAAAATCTCTGAACAAAAAGAAAAGCTCAAACTAGATAACTTCAAGGCTAAGTTCTACAAAACATTTGAAGAATTAACATAAATCCTTTTTAAACTCTGCAAAAAATATAAAGAGGAAGAAACATCCCAAACTTATTTGTACAAGGCCAGTATTACCATGATATCAAAACCAGAGAAGGAAATTGAAATGAAAGAAAATTTTATTCCAGTATACCTGATACGCAAAATGCCAAAATTCTCAACCAAATGCTAGCGAAACAAATTTAGTAACACATTAAAATGATTATACATAACATGATCAGGTGGAATTTAATCCTGGTATGCCAGGATGGTTCAACGTAGGCAAAACAAAAAATGGGATATACCGCATTAACATAATAAAAGATAAAAATCATTAGATATTCTCAGTAGATGCAGAAAAAGCATGTAATAATTTAAACATCTTTTCATGATCAAAACTCTCAATAAATTAGATACAGAAGAAATTTACCTTAAGATAATTTGGGCTATATATGACATGTCCATGGCTAACATGATACACAATGGTGAAAATCCAAAAATTTTTTCTCTAACTTCAGAAACAAAACAAGGGTGCCCACTCTCACTAATTCTGTTCAACAAAGTACTGTAAGTCCTAGCCAGAATGATTAGACAAGATAATGAAATAAAAGTCATTCATACCCTACATGCACCAGCACACATATGTGAATGTAGGCCCAGTTGTCACTGCCCCAGTGAAGTGCTTTTGCCAGAACTCACCATCAGATTGTTGTTGTCAGGGACAAGAACACCTAGGCCATTCCAGTGCATCAGATGCTTAATATTGAAGGGAGAGGGAACAAAGCCATGGGTGTAATCCCAGGCCCTGCTCAACCCCTGAGTTCTTTCTTGGCCCCCCTTGGCCCAGAAGCAAAGCCATTCAACCAAACCCAACTTATGCCACAGAAATCCTCTAAGGCATCAAAGAAAATAAAAGCCAAAAGCACCTTTCAAATGACAGCAACTTCAAAAATTAAAGGAACAACAGTCCAGACAGATGAGAAAGAACCAGCACAAGAACTCCGGTAACTCTAAAAGACAGAGTGTGTTTTTGTTTGTTTATTTTTGACAGGGACTCACTCTTTTGCCCAGGCTGGAGTGCACAATCTCAGCTCACCATAGCAATGACCTCCTGGGCTCAGGTGATCCTCCTACCTTAGCCTCCAGAGTAGCTAAGACTACGGGCACACACTGCCACATCCAGCTAATTTTTGTGTGTTTGGTACAGATGAGGTTTCGTCATGTTGCCAAGGCTGGTTTTGAACTTCTGAGCTCAAAAGATCCTCCCACCTTGGCATCGCCAAGTGCTAGGATTACAGGCGTGAACCACCATGCCAAGCCCAGAGTGTCTTCTTACCTCCAAAAGACCACACTATCTCTCCAGCAATGGTTCTTAACTAGGTTGAAATGGCTGAAATGACAAACAAAATTTTGAAGCTGGATGGCAATAAACATCATCAAGTTTCAAGAGAAAGTGGAAAAATTTAAGGAATTCAGTAAAATGATTCAAGAACTGAAAGACAGGCTGGGCGCAGTGGCTCAGGTCTGTAATCCCAGCACTTTGGGAGCCCAAGGTAGGTGGATTTCCTGAGGTCAGGAGTTCAAGACCAGCCTGACCAACAAGACGAAACCTCGTCTCTACTAAAAATACAAAAATTACCTGGGTATGGTGGCCAGTGCCTGTAATCTCAGCTAGTTGGGAGGCTGAGGCAGGAGAATTGCTTGGAGGCGGAGGTCGCAGTAAGTCAAGATCATGCCATTGCACTCCAGCCTAGGTGACAAGAGCAAAACCCAGTCTTAAAAAAAAAAATTAAAAAAATAAAAAATAACTGAAAGACAAAATAGCCATTTTAAGATGATAGAGCTGAAAAGTTCACTAAAATAATTTCATAATATAATTGCATTAACAGTAAAATAGGCAAAACTAAGAAAATAATCTCAAGTTCAAAGACCGCTTTATTGACTCAACTCAGGCAGAAAAAAAAATTTAAAAAGAATTAAAAAGTAAACAAAACCTCTGACAAATATGAAATTATGTACAGAGACCAAACATATGACGCACTGGTGTCCCTGAAAGAGAGGGAGAGAGTTCAAGCAACTTGGAAAGCACATTTGAGTATATTGTCCACAAATATTTCCCCAGACTGACTAGAGGGGTCCATATTTAAATTCAGGAATTTCAGGAAAAAAATACTGAGATACTATGCATGATGCCATCCCAAAGACACAAAGTCATCAAATTCACTAAGGTCAACACAAAAGAAAAAATATTGAAGACAGCTAGAGAGAAGAGGCAGGACACCTACAAATCAAACCCCATCAGGCTAACAGCAGGTCTTTCAGCAGTAAGTCTACAAGCCAGAAGAGACTGAGGGCCTATATTCAGCATCCTTAAAGAACAGAAATTCCAAACTAGAATTTTATGTCCAGTCAAACTAAGCTTCATAAGTGAAGGAGAAATAAAATCCTTTCTTTGACAAGCAAATGCCAAGGGAAATTGTTACCATAAGACCTGCCTTATAAGAAATCCTTAAGTGAGTGCTAAACATGAGAAAGAAAGAGTATTATCAGCCACCGTGAAGACACACTTAAGTGCACAGATCGTTGTCACTATAAAGCAACTATACAATCAAGTGTACATAAAAAACCTAACAACACAATGACAGGATCACATCCATACATAGAAATATTAACCTTAAATATTAATGGACTAAACACCACCTTAAAAGACACAGAATGGCAAGTTGCATAAAGAAGAAAAACCTAACTCTATTCGCTCTATAACAGACAGGTCTTACATGCAGTGACACCGATGGGCTCAAAGTAATGGGATGGAGAAAGATCTATCAAGCAAATAGAAAACAAAGAACAGCAAGTGTTGCTACTCTTATTTCAAACAAAACAGACTCAAAGGAACAATGATTGGAAAGGACGAAAAATGGTATTACATAATGGTAAAAAGTTCAATTCAACAAAAAGACTTAACTATCTTAAATATATATGCAACCAACAATGGAGAACCTAGATTCATAAGAGAAGTTGTTAAAGATCTACAAAGAGACTTAATGGAAGACTTCAACACCCCACTGATAGTATTAGACAGAACATCAAGGCAGAAAACTAACAATGATATTAAGAAGCTAAAATTCACATTGACCAAATGAATCCAACAGACATCTACAGAACATTCCACCCAACAACAGAATGTACATCGCACATACTCTGTATGCAAGATGACCATCTCAAAGACACATAGTCATCAAATTCACCAAGATAAACACACACAAAAAATATTAAAGACAGCTAGAGAGAAGAGACAGGTCACCTACAAAGCAAACCCCATCAGGTGAAGAGCAGGCCTTTCAGTAGAAACCCTACAAGCCGGAAGAGATTGACGACCTATATTCAGCATCCTTAAAGAACAGGAATTCCAAGAAAGAATTTTATAACTAGCCAAATTAGGCTTCATAAATGAAGAAGAAATAAAATCCTTTTTTTCCTCCTTCTCAGCTACGCATGGCACATATGCTAAAATCAAACACGTGGCCATAAAGCTATTCTCAACAAATTTTAAAAAATGAAATCAAACCAAGCACACTTTCAGACCACAGTACAATATAAATAGAAGTTAATGCTAAGATGAGCTCTCAAAACTATACAATCCCATGGAAATTAAACAATCTGCTGCTGAATGACTTGTAGGAAACAATAAAATGAAGGCAGAAATCAAGATGTTTTTTGAAACTACTGAAAACAAAGATACAACCTACTAGAATATCTGGGACTCAGCTAAATCAGTGTTAAAAGGAAAGTTTATAGCACTAAATGCCCACATCATAAAGTTAGAAAGATCTTACATTAATAACCTAACATCACACCAAGAGGAACTAGAAAAACAAGAGCAAACCAATCTTTAAGCTACAGAAGATAAGAAATAACAAAGATGAGGCTGAACTGAACAAAATTGAGGTACAAAAATCATTAAAAAGACAAAGAAAACAAATTTTGGTTATTTGAAAGAATAAATAAGACACATAGACCATATAGCTACACTGATAAAGAAGAAAAAGAGAGGATCCAAATAAACTCAATCCAGAAATGACAAAGGCAACAATACCACTGATCCCACAGACATACAAAAATCTCTCAGATACTATTATGAACACCTCTGATACAAACTCGAAAACCTAGAAAAAAAAATGGATGAATTCCGGGAAACATACAACCTTCCAAGATTGAACAAGGAAGAAACTGAAACACCAAACAGACCAAAACAAGTTCTGAAATTGACTCAGTAATTAAAAACTTACCATCCAGAAAAAATTCTGGAGCAGGCCAATTCACAAATGAATTCTACCAAACATATAAAGAAGATGTGGTACCAATCCTGCTCAAATTATTCCAAAAACTCAAGGAGGAAGCATGCCTCCCTCTCCCTAACTCATTATATTAAACCAGCATCTTTCTGATACCAAATCCTGACAGAGCTCCAGTGAAAAAAGAAAACTTCAAACCAATATCCTTGCTGAACATAGGTACAAAAATCCTCAAGAATATGCAACCAAAGCAAATCCAGCAGCACATCAAAAAGCTAATTCACCATGATCAAGTGGACTTTTATTCTGGGATACAGGGGGGTTTAACAATATGCAAATCAATAAATGTCTTTCATCACATAAACAGAACTAAAAACAAAAATTACATGATCATCTCAATAAGTGCAGAAAGGTTTTTGACAAAATCCAACCTCAGTTCATGTTAAAAACCCCCAACAGACTAGACATTGAAGAATGTACCTCAAAAAAATAAGAGGCATCTGTGACAAACCTGCAGCCAACATCATACTAAACAGGGAAAAGCTGAAAGCATTCTGCTTGGAACCAGATCAAAACAAAGATACCCACTCTCATCGCTTCTATTGAATATATTACTAGAAGTCGTAGCCAGAGCAATTAGTCAATAGAAAGAAATAAAATGCATTCAAATAGAAAGAGAGGAAGTCAAGCTATCTCTCTTTGCAGACAAAATGATTCTATTCCCAGAATACCCCATAGTATCTGCCCAAAGGCTCCTATATATGATAAAAAAACTTCAGCAAATTTTCAGGATATAAAATAAATGTACAGAAATCAATAGCATTTTGATATACCAATAACATCCAAACTGAGAGCCAAATCAAGATGAAAACCTCATTAATAATAGCCACAAAACGAATAAAATACCTAGGAATATAGCTAACCAGAAAGGTGAAAGATCTCTACAGTGAGAACTACAAAACACTGCTAAAAGAAAGTGAAGACGACACAAGCAAATGGAAAAAATTCTATGCTCATTGATAGGAAGAATCAAAATACTAGGTTGGTGAAAAAGTAACTGTGGTTTTTGCCATTACTTTTAATGAAAAAAAGACACAATTACTTTTGCATCAACCTAATAGTTAAAATGGTCATAATGCCCAAAGCAATTCATAGATTAAATGCTATTCCTATCAAATTACCAACAGCATTTTTTTTACAGAATTAGTAAAAACTATTCTAAAATCCACATGGAACAAAAACAGGGCCAAATAGCCAAAGCAATCCTAAGGAAAAAAAAAAAAAAGAAAGAAAGAAAGCTGCGGGCATCACGTTACCTGTCTTCAAACAATAATAGAAGGCTAGTGTAGTGAAAACAGCATGTTACTGGCACAAAAACAGACAGATAGAGCAATGGAATAGAATAGAGAACCCACAAATAAAGCCACACACCTAAAACCATTTGATTTTTGACAAAGTTAACAATCACCAGCAAGGGAGAAAGGAGATCCTATTCAATAAATAGTGCTAGTATAAGTGGCTAACCTCATGCAGAAGATTGAAACTGGACCTCTTACTTTCACGACATATAAAAAAAACAACCCAGGATGGCTTAAAGACTTATATGGAAGACCTAAATCTATAAAAACCTTAGAAGGAAACCTAGAAAATACCACTCTGGACATAGGCCGTAGCAAAGATTTAACAGTGAAGACTCCAAAAGCAGTTGCCACAAAAACAAAAATTGACAAATGAGATCTAATTAAACTAAAGAGCTTCTATACAGCAACAGAAACTATAAACAGAGTCAACTGAGAACCTATAGAATGGGAGAACATTTTTGCAAACTATTCATCTGACAAAGGTCTAATATCTAGAATCTATAAGGAATTTAAACAAATCAACAAGCAAAAAACAAACAACCCCATTAAAAAATGGGCAAAATACATGAACAGACACTTCTTAAAAGAAGAGATACAAGTGGTCAACAAGCATATGAAAAAATATTCAACATCATTAATCATTAGAGGAATGCAAATCAAAGCCATGAGACACTATCTCATACTAGTCAGAATGGCTATTATTAAAAGGTCAAAAAATAACAGATGCTAGCTAGGTTGCAGAGAAAAGGAAATGTTTGTACACTGTTGGCGAGAATGTAAATTAGCCATTTTGGAAAGCAGTTTGGAGACTTCTCAAACAACTTGAAACAGAACTTAAACAGTCACCTTAAAACAACTTAAAAACAAAAAACAAGTATTTTTTTTGACTCAACAATCCCATTAGGGTATATATACCAAAAGGAATACAAATATTACTACCATAAAGACACACGCATGTGTATGTTCATCACAGCACCACTCACAATAGCAAAGACATAGAACAATCTATATGCCTATCAACAGTGGACTTGATAAAGAAATTGTATATCTATACACCATGGAATACTATGTAGCCATGACAAAGAACAAAATCATGTCCTTTACACCAACATGGATGCAGCTAGAGGCCATTATCATAAGTAAATTAACACAGGAACAGAAAACCAAATACCATGTATTCTCACTTATTTGTTGGGGCTAAGCTTTGAGTACAGATGGACACAAAAGAGTGAATAACACTGGGCCTACTTGAGGATGGAGGCTGGGAGAAGCATGAGGATGGAAAACCTACCTATCGGGTACAATGCTCATTACTTGGGTGGTGAAATTTTGTATACCAAACCCCAGTAAAACAAAATTTACTCATGTAACAAATCTGTGCATGTGTCTCCTGAATCTAACATGAAAGTTGGAAGGAACAAGAAATATTTCACTCTACAAAGGAAAGAAATACTTCCAATAAAAGCATGACATTATGCCTTTAAAAAAAGAAATAAGAAGCATTCAACTCAATCCAAATCAGAAAGGAAACCGTAACATTTGTGTTTGCAGATGACGTGATCTTATATGTCAGTCTACAAAGTTTCCAAAAAAATAGTGTTAAAACTAACACAGGATATAAAGTTGTGAATAAAAATATCAACATAGAAAAATCAGTCATGATTCTATACATTAATAATATACTATCTAGACAAAAAAATAAGAAAATAATCCCATTTACAATAGCACCAGAAGGAATAAAATACTTAAGCATACGTTTAACCATGGAAGTGAAAGATCTGTACAAAGGAAACTATAAAACATTGGTTAAAGAAATTGAAGAAGACACAAATAAACTGAGAAAGAATCCATATTAATAGAGTGAAAGAATAAATGCTTTATTATCACAGTTTAGCCTAGCCTTACTAATACTTTTAATTGAATACAAATGATCAAACTGCCCTCTGAAAGCTGTGTAGTAATTTATAACTAATGCAATAAGTTGTAATATTACCAAACCAACACTTCTCCAAATATTGTGTGCTACAGCTCATCAATCAGAACTCAGGTAGAATAAAAGGAATACAGAAAGGTTACATAAGAATTCTTTGCTCTGAGTTTATTAAAAGACTGTTTACAATGGTTTGGGGCACATGTGAGGAAACTACTAGAGATAGAATACCGGGGAGAGTAATACTTGTGCTCTACTACCACCTGAGGTCTGGAAAGGCAAACGAGGGAGATTATTGCAATCTGTGACAGAGAAGACTATGTTGACTAACTGTTTAATAGGAAGCCAGAAAGCAGAAAGAGCCAATTTTTTATTTTGTTCATATAGCTCAGATTGGAAGGGCACAGGAAAGAAGGTTAACAAGTGGATCTAAAGAGATACTCAGCAATACAGTCCTTTTGCCCCTCCACATACATTTTTATTCATTCTGTCAGATAAGAGATATATAAAATCTCCTCAACCTCTCCATTGTCCAGTGATGGTGACATTTGGATCATAATTAATAAGTAACCTAAGAGGTAATTCACTATTTTTTCATACAAAATTGTGTACAACAAAGAAAACATAAGCAAATAAAATAAAACAAGGCTACTTCTGTAGCTAGCCTTTCCTATACATTGGGTTCGTGGTGTGTCTGGTTGGGGGTCCTTTACCTAGCTGGGTGAACCTCAATGCTGTGGTTCTGCGCTGAGTTCTTGGTAATCATTCCTCTAGTATTTACTGGATTACTGCAGTTTTACATTGACCAGAATTTAACAAGACAGTAGTAAATGACACTCCAATTTCCTGGTTTCTGAACATAGTCATCATTGCTTTGATTTTGTAGCAGTATTCCAATCTGTCGGGTGATTTACTCTGGCCTACAGACGAATCCAAATGTCTGACTATTGTTAATTTGCACTCTGAATTAAGCTGGCCAAGAGAAAGTCTCTCTTCTGCAACACAGGAGCTGGGGGGAATAAAAACTGAAACCTCCCTCTTCTCTCTTGCTTTAAACCTCAGTCAATTCCCCATGCTTGCCAATGAGCTAGAAGCCAGAGAGCAAAGGTATCCTCTCATAGAAGCCTTACAGATTAGTATTTGTGGACAAAGAAGAATGAGGTGTGAAATACAGATCAGAAGGAACAAAATAATGATAAAGTTGGCAATACTATTTTTAATATTCAATTTTAAATGATACCACAGTCCTTATTTAATGTGCATTTCTTCAATTTTCAAGTTACAAAACCATTTTTCATTCATTTGTGAATCATTTGTCTTTACATCTTTTAAAAGTTTTTTTCTGCATTTTTATTTTTGCAGTAAGTTCACGCTAAGGGGCTTTCAATTTCAATTAATTCTCTAATTATCTGGTCCATGTTGTCCAATATTTCATGAAATCAGAGGCAAATATTTTTCATACTCAAATCTACCTGTTTACCATTCTGTTTCTATTGTTTTCATGAATTACTGCAATCTAGTAGATGTGTTTTCCTTAATTTTCAGAAATAATCCTAGACATCTCTTGGATAGTACCATAGGCATTCATCTGAATCTAAAATTAATATATGAATGGCTATTTTCAATAACATGAGAGTACCTGCAATTAAGGGCTGAAGACTTTCCTCAGCTTAATGAACTGTTCCTTCATTATGTCTCTCATTTGCTTCTTTTCTATTTCTCTATAGTAGATTAAATATCATATTGCAAACTTGCCTGTCAATCAATTGAGGTGGGAATTATTAGGTAGGTGCGAAAGTAATTGTGGTGCTTGATAATTTATTGTTGAATTTTTTAATTAATTTGTAATTAATCATAAGATGGATATAAACATGACTTTATGTTTTAATCAAAGATTTGTAGAGTTAGTTCATGGATTCTAGAAAAAAACAGCATCAATTTTTTAGAATATGTGAGTCTGTTTCTGGCAATATGGAATGTTCTAATTTTAAGAATACAATCTGCCTGTCTAGAGAAAAATGCAATTCAAGTAGATGATATTATTCATTCTCTGTCAATAGTTTGATGGAAAAATGTCCTAAAAGATCTCGCTCTAGACCTACTTACTAATCTAATTTGTAGTTTTAGCTTCTGACATGCAGAGAGAGCTTTATACCAATAACTGGCAAAGTCTGGCAGTTGACATACATCAGTCATTTTAAATTGCTAAACTGGCATTTTGGTTTATGTATTAGCCTCTTTTAAGTTTGATGACTATGATTTTAAATGCTTTAACCTCATTAATTCTTGTTTAATGTGAGAACTTGAAGGCAGAACTAAGCCCCTCAAAATAAATCGCCAAATCAAACAAGTAAATAGCATCTTCCCTAGACACAAAATTCTCCTAGAAACCTGGGACCACTTATTTTCATAGCTTTCTTTCCATCTTTTTCTTTATCTTTTTTATCTTACTTTTTCTCATTATTCTTATATCTGACACTCTCAGGATGCCAAAAATCAAATAAAATTAATTTTAGATGATAATAAAATATTCTGACTTTTTTTTTCTTGATCTTTTTGGCTTTCCAAAGGAAAGGCAACTCAAATTTTACACTAACACAAGTTTCAAAGCAAGGTAACATATCCACGTAAGGTAGACTCATGGAATCATTAAGACTTTCTTGGTGAAGTCTGAAAAATGCAGAGTATGTTCTGTTCTTTCTCTGAATGCTTTTAGCTTAGTTGTTGTTGTCAAATGCATCCGTTACCCAGAATTTTAAAAGTCTCTGGACGGCAAAAAAATCAATAAACGATTCAAAAATAAAAACAGAATGAAATAATGTTGATCAACTTTCAAACTAAATATAGGATCTCTACAAATTAATATTGTCTTCATGGAGAATCAACACAGAGTTGAATATCTGGACAACTGATGATGGCTTCCCCTACATAAATAACTAAGAAAGAAAAAGGAATTCCTACTTTTTAGAAAAGACAGTAATATTTGTCTACAGTATTGAGCAATCATAAAAACCAGTTTATAACCCATTCCAATTAGTCCGCTGAAGCTGCTATAATCGAGTACCACAAACTGCAACAAACATTTGTTTTCTTACAGTTCTGGAAGCCGGACATCCAAGATCAGGGTGCCAGCATGGTTGGATTCTGGGGAAGCCTCTCTCTTTGACTTGCTGACCACTAAATTATCTCTGTGTTCTAAAATAGTTTTCATTACCTTGTTTCTTATCTGTAAAGAGTGGCTAAAAATTAAGAAAATGCTCACAGTCCTTTGGATGATATTTAATATATATTTGTTTTTGCCACCTTGAAATTTGCAGACATAATATGATGTGTGTGCTCCTACACACGCAGGAGAAAAATAACTACATAGTTTTAAATTTCCTGTCTTCTTGTTTTCTGTTCATCTGGAGAAAATCAATTATGGTTACTTTATATAAAGGTGTTAATGAACATAAATTATTGAGACTATGTAAAGTACAATAATTAAAATGAATATAAAATTATGTTCATAATAAGCTTTCATATCTTTTGAGAGAAGTTGAAGTTCATTAAGATGTCATATTCAATATTATATATTTGTATTATTTTATTTATTTGATATACTGATTATTTTTTTCAATTAAGGTATAATCTTTCACATTATTGTCTACTTTTATACTTATAATTATTTACATTACAGTGTTTCATATTACATTATTTTTCATTATAATAATTTATAAAACAAATACAACATATATCTTATGTTTAAATACTTATACACAAGATTTATATGGAGGATCTTGAGAGTAGTGTTAAAAATTTATAAAGGTAAAATTAGAAGTAATATTTTATAAAATAATGAAAATTTAAGATTACTTTATTTGAGACTTTAGGCTGTAATTTAATTAAATAATTTAAAGTTCTTTATATATAGAAAATAAATATTAATTTTTTATAATTATTGATGTGCTTCCTGGGTTTAAAAATATTGCCTGTAACAATTTCTTATATATCAATATTTATTATTTATGTTCATATCGTATCCTTTCTTAAAATTAGTTTTTAAATTTTGCCTTTCTCAGGTTCAAGCTTCAAATTCAGATTAATAAGTTTGTTTGTGTATAAAGATAAATAAAACCGCTAAGATTCTATGGCCACAGGAAAAGCAAACATTTACTTCTTTTCTACATGTATGTGTGTGTGTGTTTGTGTGTGTGTGTATACACACATCTATATATCCATTATATGTGTGTGTGTATACACACATCTATATATATCCATTATATGGACGTGTGTACATACATACATATTATGAACCAAGTAAATAGCATTTGCCCCAGATAAAAAATTCATATAATAGGAATACTATTTGCTTTCTTTAACATTCTTCAGAATTTAATTATTTCATATTGATTGTGAGAGCTCTTTTGTTAACTAAGACAAAGATTAGAGAAAATGGATATTCCAAAGAGAAGTGAAATCATTTTAATTATGTATAATTAAAATATCTTAATATAACTATGTTTAATGTCTGTGTATTTCTCAGGTTAAAAGAAGCATACTCCGGTTTTAGGCATGGTCTGGAATAATGACTGTCAACAGATAAACTTTTATATTAAAAAAAATTGAGAAATACCTTTATCAATCATTGACATCCATAATATATTTCACAAGATAAATTAAGGCCTCTGGAGATTTGTGAATGTCCTCTGTCACTTTCTCTCACATATCACTATCCATCACTGTTAACACTCTGAACCCAGTGACTCCATTAGGGAAATATTTATGCCTACTACAAACCTTAGAAGAATTTTTTTGGATAATCCTGTTTCATGTTTTATGTTGATGATTCATACCAAATGGTTGTCAAGAAGACTATAAAATCATAGTTATAAATTCACTGTTTAACATACAAACATCTTCCAGAAATTAAATCAATTCAATTGAATAAATTGTTCATCCTTACCTAAACTTTCCACTTAACGAAAGATAAAAATGCAAATATTTGTAGAGATGGTAAGTGTGCTTTTGGGTTGGGTCTTGATTATTTTCTTTTATTATTATTATACTTGAAGTTCTGGGATACATGTACAGAATGTGCAGGTTTGTTACATAGGTAGTATACATGTGCTATGGTGGTTTGCTGCACCCATCAAACCATCATCTACATTAGGTATTTCTCCTAATGCTATCCCTCCCCTTGCGCCACACCCCCTGATAGGCCCCAGTGTGTTATGGTCCTCTCCCTGTGTCCACATGTTCTCACTGTTCAACTCCCACTTATGAGTGAGAACATGTCGTGTTTGGTTTTCTGTTTCTGTGTAAGTTTGCTGAGAATGATGGTTTCCAGCTTCATCCATGTCCCTGCAAAGGACATGAATTCATCCTTTTTTATGGCTATATAGTATTTCATGGTGTATATATGACAAAGTGTCTTTATCCAGTCTATAAACACCCATTGGTGGGCATTTGGGTTGGTTCCAAGTCTTTGCTATTGTGAATAGTGCTGCAATAAACATACGTGTGCATGTGTCTTTATAGTAGAATAATTTATAATCCTTTGCGTATATACCCAGTAATGCGATTGCTGGGTCAAATGGTATTTCTGTTTCTAGATCTTTGAGGAATCACCACACTGTCTTCCACAATAGTTGAACTAATTTACACTTCCACCAACAGTGTAAAAGTGTTCCTGTTTATCCACATCCTCTCCAGCATCTGTTGTTTCCTGACTTTTTAATGATCACCATTCTAACTGGTGTGAGATGGTATCTCACTGTGGTTTTGATTTTCATTTCTCTAATGACCAGTGATGATGAGCTTGTTTTCACATGTTTGTGGGCTGCATAAATGTCTTATTTTGAAAAGTGTCTGTTCATATCTTTCACCCACTTTTTGATGGGATTGTTTGTTTTTTTTTTCTTGTAAGTTTTTTTAAGTTCCTTGTAGATTCTGGATATTAGCCCTTTGTCAGATGGATAGATTGCAAAAATTTTCTCCCATTCCGTAGGTTGCCTGTTCGCTCTGATGATAGTTTCTTTTGCTGTGCAGAAGCTCTTTAGTTTAATTAGATCCCATTTGTCAATTTTAACTTTTGATGCAATTGCTTTTGGTGTTTTAGTCATGAAGTCTTTGCCCACTCCTATGTCCTGAATGGTATTACCTAGGTTTTCTTCTCAATCTAGAATATGCTTGGTTTCCTTAAACCTTCCCTGTAACCACACAGCCCAATTCCAAATCCTATAAATAACCTCTCTAAACCTCCTCTTCTCAAGACTGTCCTGGTATATTAAGGGAGATAAAACAAAATTTTTTGCTATTCATCATAAGGTTCATGGCTGAGAACCCTAAAACAAAAGACAGATAAAAAGAGAAAAATATACACATTGATTTAATACACATTTTAGGTGAGGGCCTTCAGAAATGAAGATCCATGTATTTTTGCGGACAGTCATGCAGAAGAAGTATGACTGGAGGACGAAAGGATATGATGTAATGGCAATAAACTGGGAAAAACTCATCAACGCCTATTTGTTCAGATTCTTTTCTGTGTCTCTGTGTGACATTTCTTCCCATCCTGTATAGGGCAGAACACCTGTAATATGAGGTTCTTCAGGAAAGAAGAAAGGGAGATTGTCAGAGAGTGACCTTCCTACGTTTTATAGTCTGTTTCAGGGAGAAGGGGCAAAGGAAATTCCAGGTTTTTTTGTTTGTTTGTTTGCTTGCTCTCTTCAGGAGAGAGGGAACAGGAGAAGCTCAGAGAGACATTTCTGCTTCTGTGGTTTTCTCAGCTTCCTTCAGCTTAAAATACTTAAAATATTAAGGTGCTATATTTGGGTGGTATCTTGTTCTGAGTTCTGACTTATTTTTACTGCTTTTGCTGCTGATACATAACTAGGCCTAACTTTAAATACAGTAGTGTTCTTGGCGATCTTTGGCTGTTGGACTTCTATATTTCTTAGGGCCTTTAAATGTTTTCTTTAAAAAATTATATTTTATTTATTATTTTAAAAATATGAAACAAATGATATATCACTACAGACACAAAACCATTGCTCTTCATTGTGGTAAATATGAATGTCAAGAATCAACTTTGGCCACCAATTGGTAATTTTCTCAGGTCTAATAATGTAAGCTCATTTTCCATGTCTGTTCAGATCTGTAATGATTGCAAGTCCTCAAGTTTGTTTCACTCCTCTCTCCAATATCACCCTCTTCTGGAATCAATGCATTTCTTTACTGTTTACTCAGTACGTGTGTTCTTTACTGTTTACTCAGTACGCGCGTGTGTGTGTGTGTGTATACACACATCTATATATATATATCCATTATATGGATATAGATGTGTATGTGTGTGTGTATATATATATATACACATACATATATATACACATATATATATATATACATATATATATATAGAGTCCTCTGAGTTCAAGGACGTGCATATTGAGGTGAGCAGTGGAGGTCATTTCAACTTTAGGGAGCACAGAAAATTATTTACAAAAGAATGTTGTTCATGTGTAATCTTTGTTGAAAGGCAAAATACATTATTTTTATTTTACTTAATATGTAAACATCTTTTATATAAAGTTATGGAAACATTTCACTTTTCTGTAAATAAACTTATCTAAAGAATGGTGGTAAATGGTGAAAAATACCATGCAACTTGAATGTATTCCATGAAATATACTCAGCAATACAATTTTGGAATATGTTCCCCACATTGCTAGCTATGCTTGTGATTTCTTCTCTCACTTCAATGTCTTTTCTCCATCCCCCCTTCAGTCTGATGGCTAATTAGCTGCACTCTCTTTGGCTCATGTGCTATCTCCTCCAGTAATCTATCCCTGACCTCTTCAGACCGAATTAGTCTGCTGTTTCCTGCGATTCCACCATACTCAGTACAAATCTATCATCCCTTGTAATTGCATTATTTTTTTTCCTGAGTCTGATTTTCCCATGGTTAACGGTTTCTTGAGAGAAATCTTATCTTATTCATTTTTGTATCTGCAACACCTCAGTGATTGCAAAATAATCTCCCAGGAAAGGTGTAAAAAAATAAATGAGTGGTATAAACTCTTCCTATTTAAGAAGTAAAATTTAGTAGAGACAACCAGGTGCTTCTTAATTAAAATACATCATTTTGGAAACCTAACAAATACTCCCATATTTGCTATTATGACTGATTAAGTGTTCCCTACAGCGTATACTGATATTCTTTGTATTGAAAGTGATTCTCTTTCACTATTGAAAAAATATCAATTAGATACTAATTAGTCTTGCTCTCTGCTTGTGGAGGGCTTGAGGTAAATAGGTGTGGAAGAGAATGGGAGCAATAATTAAGTAAACATTTAGGCAGTTCAAACCTTGTGCTCCTTGCAGATAAAAATGCAAATCAGGTTTGCAATATAACCTCCATACAGACAACCAGGGCAGATGCTAATGAATCTAGCATGTTTGTCATGAGTAGTTCAGTTTTAAAACGATTGATTTCTTTACAAAGAGAAGCAGTGAAACATAAACTAAAGTTGCCATGCTGTACCCAATCTGAAAAATTAAACGCTGTTAATGGCCCTTTGTAATACACTGTGAGAATAACGATTATGAAAAAGCTCAGCAGTTTTGATGAATCACTCTCGTCTGGCAAGAGGTCCTGACTTATTTGACAGAAGATGCCTTGCATAGATCATTATAGAGAAGGGAGAGATAGCAGCTATTGTGTTACATAATAGTGTAATAATATAACATTTACAGGGTTTTAAAGTGCAAGTGAGAAATAATAAAAGTGAAGAATTTCACAGTTAAGGAGAAAACATACCAGTCTGCCCTTTAGCACAAAGTCACAACCCACAATTAAGGGACTCATGATTCAGGGTAAATAGTGTGGCTGCTTGTTCAAAGAAACAGTCTGCACCAATTATTCAAGTCTTATAATATTTCTTTTCTTTCTTTTACAGTTAGAAATATGCAAACAGTCTTTATAATGCCAGGATAACAACCCTCCTTAAACCTTGTGATTTTATTTTCTACTTAAAAGAAATGTTGGAAAACAATCACCAATCTTGTGAAATGTAAGCACTCTGGCTCAGCTGTCTTGTATATCCAAATCTGAGATGCCCCATTTCTTCATGTTCGTTTCCCTTCCTCTCCAATTGCACCCTCTACTGGAATTATTGTCTCCTTGGTTTGCAGCAGTCCTTAAGAGCTTTTATTTGCATGAGTCAATCTCTCCTTGGAGTTCCTTCTCTTTTCCCTATGTTTAACCAATTCGTAATATATTTTTAAGTCCATCTCAAGTCTTATAAAAATAACATTTATGTTTTACTGAATGCTGGCTATGTGCCAAAGTTGTCTGACAAGTTTATGTACAGTATATTATTTAATCCTCACAATATCCTTGAGGAGGTCATAATAATTACAACCACTTCACAGATGAGGAAACTCAGAAAGAAGTTACATAATATCCTCTAGGTCTGATGCCTGGCAAATAGCATCCTTCAAATTCGGCTTTGATGGGCCAACTACAAAAATTCTCCTTTGTGTTCCTTATGAAATTGTTACCATAGACTCAGAATTTAGCTTTTAATTATCTTATTACTATTTTCAAATGAATTAATTATGTATCCAAGAGCAGTCTACAAAATGGAAGAACTCATAATTGTATCTTTCTGAACTTCCAGAATATTACAAATGTTTACTGAGACGTGTTGAACTAAAAGGAAAAAGCTGCAGCATAAAATATCATTTTAAGGAGTTTACTTGAAACAAAGTGAGAACAGATGCTCAGGACACATTTCCAAATTGCCTAGGGAAGTGATCTATTTGACCTTTGCTCCAAGCAGATTTTTAAAGGCAAAGGAGGACGAAGAGCAGTCTGGTACAAAGTTGATTGACAGGAGTTCTCATTGGTTTACAGAAAAAAGGATGATTAGTGATTGGGTGTACATTGTTGAACTGTAGGGCCTGAGTTATGATGTCCAGTGCATGGCATTTTATAGCTACTTAGCACTTCTTAGTCTGGAGCCCACATAGCAAGTAGCTTCAAGAGGTAATTATTTAGCTCCAGGTGGGAGGCAGATGTGACTACTCACATTTTAAATGCTTCTCCAAATCTGATAATTTAAAAGGGATTAAATTCCTCAGATTAAAAAAAAAAGGCTTCTTTTTTTCTCATTTTTCTTCCTCAAGTTTCTTTTGATCAAAATCTTTCTTCTCGGAAGCATTGATTATCAAAGTTCAAGTGCCAAATTGTCCTTCATTGCTGGAAAGGCTCACTCCTGGATAGTCCTGTCCCACATCAAGGAAGAAGAGAAGCTATCTCAATTAGGTATTTTTCAAGTGCACCCTAAGGCTGAATTGAGATGGCATCACAGATTAACAAAAATGAGACTCGCTCAAGTCATTGATTTATATAGCTGCTGTCACTTGAATTATCTCTAGTCTTTGGAATACCATGATTTTAGTTTTCTTGGAAGAAGTAATGCAATGAGCTATCCGTAGCACCAACAGTTTGAATAGTAGAAATATAATGCAAACATGAATTGCAATTGGAAAGAGACTTTGTAGGCCAGAACAACACAAAGAACCTATCCATTAGGGAGCCGACTAAAAAATAACATGAAGAAAATTCAATTTTGGTTCTTCTTTAGAGACTTGTAACCAAATGGCTTCTCTTAAATTTTTTCCTAGATGAATTTCTGCTTCATAAGAAGTATGTATGTATACACAACAAGTATTTCCCACCATACGTATGCCTCCTTGTTTAGCTAATATATAATCTGAGGCAATGTGATTGTCTAGAGCAACCTTAGCCAGCGAATCAGCAGATTTTTCTTGAGCTGCAGTGGAGGCAGCAGTTTCATCAGCAATATTTCCCGAGCTTACAAAAATATTTCTAAATATTGTTCATGCGAAAAAAAAAACACCCCACCAAGGAAAAACTGTTCTTCCAATAAAATTCATGGAGCTATTTTCTTGATGGTCAGGTAGATAATTAACAGATTTTCCTCGAAATAGAATCTCTGTCTAAAATACATTGGTGGTCGTGTCTACGGAAAAGTTTGAGGAAACCAGTCCACTGTTGAGTTTCTTCAAAGCTATACATACAGAGAGTGGTGGCCAAATATCCTAAGAGACAGTGCTATTTATAATTCCATGCCCTTACACATTTATAGACCCATGGATGGTGATCTCCTCCACGGGTGAAAATAAGTCCTGATGGAGCACAGGTGAGAATATTATATTGGAGTACATAGTTTTGGGGGCATTATTAAACCATGAGTTAGAAACATTAGAGCAAGGTTAGATTGAGTCCTCATAGCACAAGGGATTGTTTTTCTTTTAATTTTTAACAGCATTATTACTTTTTCTTAACTGTCATTTCTGAGTAAGAACACAATCATTTGAAAACAAGATTCGGATGAGTTAAACTGAAACATAGGACAAGCGGGTTGGGATGAGTCAGCCAGATTCAATAAACAGATTCTGCTTTGTATGGCTTCTAAGTTGTGATATGAGTACAATCAGTAATACTGGTGAAATTTAGAATAGGACATACCAGTGTGTCACTGTGGTTAAAAGTGGTTTATGCGGCCGGTGGATCACGCCTGTAATCCCAGCACTTTGGGAGGCCGAGATGGGCGGATCACGAGGTCAGGAGCTCGAGACCATCCTGGCTAATATGGTGAAACCCCGTCTCTACTAAAAAATACAAAAAATTAGCTGGGCATGGTGGCGGGTGCCTGTAGTCCCAGCTACTCGGGAGGCTGAGGCAGGAGAATGGCGTGAACCCAGGAGGCGGAGCTTGCAGTGAGCCGAGATCACGCCACTGCACTCCAGCCTGGGCGACAGAGCGAGACTCTGTCTCAAAAAAAAAAAAAAAAAAAAAAAGGGGCGGGGGTTTATGGTTTATGGTAGCAAACCCAGCATCTTGTCAAAGTTCCAGAAGTTGCAATGGTTTCTAAGAATTATTCCTCGATGTTGTAGTCAGATTTATTAGGGAAAGCAAAAACCGAAACCTGATTATAGGCATTTGCCTGTGTACATACACGCAAACCATTAATAGGCATTTGTATGTGTATATAACATAATCTGATTGTAGGCACTTGCTTGTGTATATACCATATGTGTATATACACACAAACCATTGCCATAGTACAAGTATAGTATATATTAAAAGAACTATATATGAGACAATTTTGCCAAAACCTCCAAGAGAGGATAGCCATAGTGTGTGAAGGAAACCCAAAAAGCATAAATAATTCGAAAATAGGACACCGAATATTTCAGTTGTGGTAGGCATTACAATTGTGAAGAATTGGTTATACAATCCTGATCCAGTATCCTGGGCAGAGGCAGTCTAATGTAGATGTCAGCTGCTTGCCATTCTGGTCAGGAAGACTTCAAGTCAGCTTCAGTTGAAGATCTCCAGTGATGGCAGATGTCCACTCTGGTAGGGCTGCCTTTTTTTTTTTAAATGAGAAAGACGAATTCATGAGTCAATGCCCTTAAGTTCAGTGACACAGAAATTGGTCAACAATACCTGATATGGTCCCTTCCAATGGGATTGAAGAGAATCTTATTTGATGTCATTTCTAGAAAACAAAATCTCCAGGTTGTAGGATGTGATTTTTTTTATGGCTTTTTCTACATGGAGCTAGCTGTTCAAGAAATCTTTTATTAATCTGGTGGTGTTCTTAGTGAGTAGTTTTGTGAGACTTTAGCAATAAAAAAAATGATCACCTTTAAAGAACACAGGTTCATAAGCTTCTTTATCTAGAGACATGGGCCTTCCTATTATTCTTTTAAAGAGAGAGAGCTGGTGCTTTCCAAATGGAGTGTGTATTAGTCTGTTCTCATGCTGCTAATAAAGACATACTGAAGACTGGGTAATTTATAAAGGGAAGAGGTTTAATTGACTTACAGTTCCATATGGCTGGGGAGGCCTCACAATCATGATTGAAGGTGAATGAGGAGCAAAGTCACATCTTACATGGCAGCAGGCAAGAGAGCTTGTATAGGGGAACCCTCCTTTATAAAGCCACCAGATCTCATGGGACTTACTCACTATCATGAGAATAGCACGGGAAAAACCCACTCCATGATTCAATTACCTTCCACCAGGTCCCTCCCACGACATGAGGGAATTATGGGAGCTACAATTCAAGATGAGATGTGGGGAAGAACATGGCCAAACCATATCGGGTCAGTCACAGGTTGAAGAGATCCAATGGGAGAAACTTTGGCCAGGTCAGGTTAAGGACTGCTGTTATTTCACTAATCGAATTTTTTGAATCTTTATTACACCATTGGTGTTTTCCACCACTCCAGAAGATTAGAGGGGATAGACATAATGGAAATGTTGAAATATAGGCCAAATGTTGTAAATGGATCAAATTACCTGACCAGTAAATTGTGTGTTCCTTGGCCACTATGGAAGTCAGATGGAATGCCTCATGAAATAATTGTTTTCCAATAACAACGTACCACCTGCTTGGGTCATGGCTCATCAGCATGGAATGCTTCACTCCAAGGAGAGAACATAAAAATTAGCACCAGAACTTACCTATAACACTGAGATAGAGGCAGCTGGATAAAGTTCAACTGCCATATCACAAAGGATCCTAAAGGTAAAAGAAATGTTTCTAGGAAGCATGAAGGGATTTTCCAGGATTATTTTTAGGACAAGCATTACAGCAAGAATGAACTTTTGAGCAACAGTAGGGGATTGTTTCTAATAATATTGTTTTCCCCATGCTATCATTCTGTCTGTTTTCTAATAAGTCAGCTAGTGAGCAAACTTTAAAAGGGATAATTGTTTAAGTTCTTTGTAGATTCTGGATATTAGCGCTTTGTCAGACGGATAGATTGCAAAATTTTTCTCCCATTCTGTAGGTTGCCTCTTTACTCTGATGATAGTTTATTTTGCTGTGCTGAAGCTCTTTAGTTTAAATAGATCCCATTTGTCAATTTTGGCTTTTGTTGCCGTTGCTTCTGGTGTTTTAGTCATGAAGTCTTTGCCCATGCCTATGTCCTGTGGTATTTCCTACGTTTTCTTCTAGGGTTTTTATGGTTTTAGGTCTTACATTTAAGTCTCTAATCCATCTTGAGTTAATTTTGGAACCAACCCAAATGGCCATCAATGATAGACTAAATAAAGAAAATGTGGCACATATACACTATGAAATATTTTGCAGCCAAAAAAAGGATGAGTTCATGTCCATTACAGGGACATGGATGAAGCTGGAAACCATCAATCTCAGTAAACTAACACAGGAACAAAAAAACCAAACACCACAAGTTCTCACTCATAAGTGGGAGTTGAACACATGGACACAGGGAGGGGAACATCACACACCAGGGCCTGTAAGAGGTTGGGGGCCTTGGAGAGGGATAGCATTAAGAGAAATACCTAATGTAGATGACGGGTTGATGGGTGCAGCAAACAACCATGGCACGTGTATACCTATGTAACAAACCTGCACGTTCTGCACATGTATCCCAGAACTTAAACTATAATAATTATTTTTAAAAAAGGGTAACTGAAGCCCTGAACGAAGAGCTGTTCTATCATTAGGTCCATAAAATAAGCCTGTTTCTGTAGAAGACTTCCCTCGTTTACTTTTCAAAGGTCTATTTCCTTCTTTAGAGCTCCTATTTATGCTTCTTTTAATAACATTTTAAATGAATAATAAGTCTGTAAGGACATTTCAAGACATCTATTTTCTTATGTAACCTTCAGGGCTGCATTGTTAGCTACAATGTCACCAAATTGATTACCCTTGTTCTCTGGAGTATCAAGTTTTAAATTACCAGGAATTTTGATGATAGCCAGAGATTTTTGTTTTTGGATTGTGTTTGAGTTCATTTGTGTTGCTATAAAGTAATATCTGAATTTCAGTGATTTATTTATTTTAAAAAATAGTTTATTTGGCTCACAATTCTGCTGGCTAGAATGCTGGGCATCTAGTGAGTGCTACAGGCTGCTTCTGCTCAAGGCAGAAGGCAAACAGGAGCTGGCATGTAGAGAGGTTACATGGTGACAGAGGAAGCAAAAGAGAGATGGGGGAGGTGTCAGGGTTTTGTTGTTGTTGTTGTTGTTTGTTTTTTAAACAGGTAGCTCTCCTGGGAACTAATAAGAGCAAGAACTTATTACTCCAAGGATGTTATCAAGCCATTCTTGAGGGATTCATGTCCATGACACAAACAATTCCCATTAGTGCTTACCTCCAGCATTGGGGATCTAATTTAAACATGAGGTTTGGAGGACAAACATCCAACCTGTAGAAGAGAACTTTCAAGAGGTCAGAGACTTGTTTACCAGCTCTGATGGTTTTACCTGAAGTGGTCAGAAATCCCTGTTGCTCTGAAGCATCCCCAAATTATAGCATGTCTGAAGGCATGTCTGCCGTCAGTGTAAATATAAGTTATGTTATCTTTTGCCAATTAACAGGCATGAGTTAGGGTGAGCAATACTTTCTGCTGAGATAATTTTATATCTGGAAAGTATAACATATAGAGTATAATCTATAACCTCAGTTAGAGGCACTATGGTCTAATCAGCCCAATAATTTTCAGATTCATCTTTCAAATAAATCATCAGTGAACAAAATTACAAATTACATCAGCATTATCTGTATTTTGTTTTAGGCCCTGTCTATGAGTGATAGTATGGTCAATTAAGGTGATGCAGTTATAAATGTAGCATCTCATCAATAAGCAAAGACAAAAGAATGGTTAGAACCATTGACATTTTTTACAGAATTTAAAAAAAACTATTTTAAAATTTATATGGAACCAAAAAGGAGCCTGAATAGCCAAGAAAGTCCTAATAAACAAACAAAACAGCAACAACAACAGAAAAAACATTCATGCCATCTGACTTCAAACTATGCTGTAAAGCTGCAGTAGCCAATATAGCATGGTACCAGTACAAGAACATAGGTTTAAACAAACAAACAAAACAAAACAAACAAAAAATCCATACCACCCAACTTCAAACTATGCTATAAGGCCACAGTAAGCAATACAGCATGGTACTGGCACAAGAACAGACACATAGACCAAGAGAACAGAACAGAGAACCCAGAGATACGACTGCACACCTACAACCAACTGATCTTTGACAAATCTGACAAAAACAGCAATGGGGAAAGGATTCCTTATTTAATAAATGGTGCTGGGAGAACTGGCTAGTCATATCCAAAAAAATTAAAACTGGATCCCTTCCTTATACCATATACAAAAATCAACTCAAGATGGATTAAAGATTTAAATGTAAAACCCAAAGGTATAAAAACTCCAGAAGAAAATCTACCCAATACCATTGACAACATAGTCATGGGCAAAGATTTCATGACAAAGACACCAAAAGCATTTGCAACAAAAGCAAAAATTGACAAATGGGATCTAATTAAACTACAGAGCTTCTGCACAGCAAAAGAAACTATCATCAGAGAGAACAGAAAACCTACACAATGGGAGAAAATTTTTGCAATCTATTAATCTGACAAACGTCTAATATCCAGTATCTATAAGGAACTTAAACAAATTTACAAGGAAAAAAAACCATTAAAGAGTGGGCAAAGGACATGAACAGACCATTCTCAAAAGAAGATATACATGCAGGCAACAAGCATATGGAAAAAAGCTCAACATCACTGATCTTTAGAGAAATGCAAATCAAATTGCCATGAGATACCATCTTATGCCAGTTAGAATGGCGATTATTAAAAAGTCAAGAAACAACAGATGCTGGCAAGGCTGTGGAGAAAAAGGGATGCTTTTACACTGTTGGTGGGAGTGTAAATTTGTTCAACCATTGCGATAGAAAGTGTAGTGATTCCTCAAAGACCTAGACCAGAAATACCATTCGACCCAGCAATCCCATTACTCGGTATATACCCAATGTAATATAAATCATTCTCCTATAAAGATACATGCATGCATATGTTCACTGAAGCAATTTTCACAATAGCAAAGACATGGAATCAACCCAAATGCTCATCAATGATAGACTGGATGAAAAATATGTGGTACATATACACCATGAAATACTATGTAGCCATAAAAATGAATGAGATCATGTCCTTTGCAGGGACATGGATGAAGCTGGAAGACATTATCCTTAGCAAACTAATGAAGGAACAGAAAACCAAACACTGCATGTTCTCACTTATAAGTGGGAGCTGAACTGTGAGAACACATGGGCATATGGTGGGGAATAACACACACTGTGGCCAGTTGGAGGGTTGGGGTGGGAGGAGGAAGAGCATCAGGAAAAATAAATAATGGATGCTAGGCTTAATACCAAGGTGATGGGTTGATCTGTGCTAAACCACCATGGAATACATTAACCTATGTAACAAACCTGCACATCCTGCATGTGTACCCCTGAAATTAAGAGCTGAAAATAAAAACAAAGATTAAGATCATTACATGGGAAAATAGTTATGTTAAGGTGAGGAAAGAAGAACTTCATGGAAAATAAGTCTATTAACAGAGTAATGTTGGGTATAATGTGAGTACAGAATGGTTTCCATTGAGTGGGAAACAGATGTGAGATAAGATTTCAAAACTATTTCCTCAACAGTTTTAAAGTGAGGTGGTAGCAAAGATCACTCTTAAGCAAGGTGGCATTTCTCTAGCAATTACCTCAATTTATTGGCTATAATATACAAACAGTCGATGTCCCAAAGCATTTCTCTGATCTTCATAAAAGAACAGGGTAAACAGAAAGCTGTAATTGGGATTCCTTAAGGCGGGGCAGTTGTAAGACTATCCTTGATAATTTGTGTGGTTTTCAGTCTTTCTGGAATTCAAAAAAGAGGATCACACTGATCCACTTTCGGGAGGGTGATTAAAGCCTGTATTACCAAAAATTAGGTATCCAGTTCTGACAGTATCCAGCCAATCCAGATATCTTTGAAATTGCTTTATTGTTGAGGGCTTAGGGAAGGCAGAATGCCTTTATTTCTATCTGGGTTTATGAGCAATCCTTCCTTAGAAATCAAATGTCCTAATTATTTTATCTCAGCATGGCGAAATTAGAGTTTCTCTCCAGAAAGGCTATGTCCCTTATATGACAATTGTTTTAAGAGATCATGTTATCATTCTTACAGGTTTGCGTATTCAGGGAACAAGGGAAAAGATCATACATATATTGGATGAACATATATCTCCCTAAGAAATGTACGTCAGCCAAGTCAGATTTCAATATTTGAGAAAAATAGGTAGGGCTCTCAGTGCAACCTTGTGGCACAGCCTAGGTGTACTGGTGGTCATCCCAAGTAAAAGCAAACAAGTATTAGCTCTCTGAGTCTGCTGGAATACTTAAGAAAATACTGCATAAATCAACCGCAGTAAATATCCCACTTTCAGAAAGAATTGCTATCAATAGAATACCAATAGAATAGAGGTTTTATACCACTGGATGCTTTGGGCATCCAGTCAGTATCAACAATGTTGTTTATAGGTCTGAAATATTGTACAAAGTTTCAACCCCCACATTCTGAGGGAAGGATCTGGGTATTACATGAGTGCAAAGTATAATTATGTCCTTTTTTATATAATATTTTATTATGGGTTTGGTTCCTTCAATTGCTTCAGGCCTTAACAAGTATTGACTGATATTGGATAAATGTTTATTTAAGTTTACTTCCACTTGAATGAGGTTTGCTGAATCTATTTTACCATTATCAGTGAAGGATAAGGATCATAAATAGTCTTGTGAATTTTTAGTAAGTCATCAGTGTAATTTGTTAGTCCAAGTTTAGAAAAAGAAATTGTTGGATCTGTGTTTATATCCAACACTTTTGCTGGTGCAAAAGTAATTGCTGCTGTTTTTGCATTTTTGAAATTTGCCATTGGCTATTGGAATACATGCTTAAATAAATGTGGTATGTTATTCATCATTTTAATGGGCATTTCTTGCTTTAAGTTTTTTTGCTAATAACTTATTACTTGTATATTTTATATTTATTTTAGACTATGGAAATGATGCTAGACAAAAAGCAAATTCGAGTGACTTTCTTGTTCGAGTTCAAACTGGGTCTTAAAGCAATGGAGACAACTCAAAGCATCAACAATGCATTTGGCCCAGGAATTGCTAACGAACATACAGTGCAGTGGTGGTTCAAGAAGTTCTGCAAAGGAGATGAAAGCCTTGAAGATGAGGAGTGTAGTGATTGGCCATCAGAAGTTGACAATGACCAATTGAGAGCAATCACTGAAATTGATCCTCTTACGGTTACAAGAGATAGTGCTGAAGAAATTAACATTGACCATTTTACGGTCGTTTGGCATTTGAAGCAAATTGGAAAGGTGGAAAAGCTCCATAAGTCAGTGCCTCACGACCTGAGTGAAAAAAAAAAAAATGAAGTGTTGTCTTCTCTTATTCTACACAGCAACAATGAACCATTTCTTGATCGAATTGTGATGTCCAACAAGAAGTGGATTTTATACAATGACCAGTGATGACCAACTCAGTGGTTGGACAGATAAGAAGCTCCAAAGCACTTCCCAAGGCCAAATTTGCGCCAAAAAATATGGTCACTGTTTGGTAGTCTGCTGCCGGTCTGATCCACTATAGCTTTCTGAATCCCAGCAAAACCTTTACATTTGAGAAGTATCCTCAGCAAATCGATGAGATGCTCTGAAAACTGCAATGCCTGCAGCCAGCATTGGCTAACAGAAGGGGTCCAATTATTCTCCATGACAATGCCTGACCGCACACTGCACAACCAACGCTTAAAACTGAGCTTCGAAGCTTCGCCTCATCCGCCATATTCACCTGACCTCTTGCCGGCTGACTAGCACTTCTTTAAGCATCTCAACAACTTTTTGCATAGAAAACACTTCCACAAACAGCAGGATGCAGAATATGCTTCCCAAGAGTTCATCGAATCCTCAAGCATGGATTTTTACACTGCAGGAATAACGAACTTATTTCTTGTTGGCAAAAATATGTTAATTGTAATGGTTCCTATTTTTATTAATAAAGATGTGTTTGAGCCTAGTTATAATGATTTAAAATGCACAGTCCAAAATAGCAATTACTTTTGCACCAACCTAATATTTCAGTTTTATTATTGTTTTGTAGTAGTTTTGTTTGCTCCTTCTGTTCCAATTTGAATACATTTCCCTCACTGGGGGAACAAAAATATATGCATGGTAGAGTTCCAAAAATTGTTTGCCTAAAAGTATATGGGAGCTGAGGGACTAACCAGAAAGAAATTAAGGCCACTAAATGAGCCTACCTGGGATTCTAAGGGTTTGGACTTATGTGAAGTCACAGGTTGATTAGATACATTTGTTTTGTTCTGTTTTAAACTTTAGTTTTTACAGACAGGGCTGGAACCCAGTGGCAGGACCATGGCTCACTGCAGCCTTGAACTACTGGACTCAAGAGATCCTACTATCTCAGCCTCCTGCATAGCTGGAACTACAGGAGCGTGCCATCATGCCTGGCTATTTTTTTGTTGGTCAGGCTGATCGCAAACTCCTATCTTCAAATGATCCTTCTGCTTGAGCCTCCCAAACCACTGAAATTACAGATGTGAGCCACTATGCCTGGCACCCCTACCATTTGTATACTCTTTTTACTTCATGAAAGGGAACAGTTTAAATGATAGGGTTAAGAACAGAAAGGCTAGCTCCAGTGTCCATAAGGGTGTGTGTCTGCTCTTTATTTGTTAAAAAAGTCAGTTTCTCCTTGGATATTAGTCAGAAGAACCAGGTCCTTGGAACAACCCTCTTCACTTGCAGGATCCTGTCTTTGTGTTGTTTCTGCTATCAATTAATTTCTCTACAACCTTTTTTTGAAAATGGCAAGGCTTTTTGCAATAGAAGCAAACATCTCTTTTATCATTAAAAGGAGGCACCTGTCTTTTCTTAAAAGGCCTGGTTTCACTGCTGTAGTTTCAAACACCTAATCTTTGAGGACTTACTTTTTTCTTCTTTTTGAATAGTTTTAGAAAGTTTATCTGTATTATTAGTAATTCACGATTACTAATTCATGGGTTTATATAGTTACCCAATCAAGCTGATGTCTTTAAAAAAGATAACCAAGTCCTCATGAAAGCCATTGAAGAAAGTAGAATTTATAAGGGAATAATTCAGATAATCTTTGAGGCTAGCATCAGTGCCATTCTGGGATACAATTTAAAGGATTTTTCAAACCATTCAAAATAATCAAGCACAGAATTGCCTGGTCTTTGAGTACATTGTTGAATTTTCCTCTAATCTGTATTTTTAGGAAAGACCTGGGGAATGGCATCATGAAGAGACACAGCTGAAGTGTAAATCCTTTCATGGTCTGCTTCATTCTGCTTTTTTTTTAAACCTTCTTAAGGATTATTTCAGTTAGACTTTTTTAACCATTTAGTGCCCCTGCTTTCTGATATTAGCATATGAACTAATTAATAAAGGTCAGAACAAGTCCAGACAATTAAATCAAATATTTCAGAAACCCAATGGATCTTAAAATGATATACTTTAGTTCAATTTTTTTCCAGGGGTTATACAAAATAGTAAGCTCAGCTCTTCCTGTGGGTTTTACCTTGAAAGAGGCTGCCAAAACAGAAGTTTCAGGGAAGTAGCAAGATACCTTGGGGGTTTCCTCAGGTAGTGATTGTAGGAAAGGCAAGTCAAGACAAGGGAGTTTAGATAAAAGAGAGTATAAAAGAACAGGGGTAGAAGGAGGAGCAGTTGCAGGTGGAAGAGAGAAGGCCTTTAGCATCATAAAATTCAGAAATAGATTCAGGTATCATTTTGTTTACCTCTTGAATAAGCAATTTTCTCAGAAAAAAATTTAGAAGCTTCTAGGTGCCATTAGAAGTAAGGGTCTTACTCAATTTGTCTGGCGATAAACCAGCTCTTTATAGTTGTGCCCACAAATAAATGATTTTAGGCATTTGAAAAGAGCCTCATTTTCACCATTTCTGACTATGATTATCCTGGTTCATGTGGGTCTGTTTTCCTTGATATTTACAAGAGGATGCTCCAAAGTGTTGTACATAAAGCCAACTGTTGTTTCTAAAAGAGGGTGTACCTTATAAGGCCACTCGTATTTTGAAGCTAGATTTTCAAAATAATTAAGGAGCTTTTCGGCTGTGACCATGTCCCAGAGTCCATTCTGGGTGGAAGTGTGGTGCCTATGAGCATCACTCTTTTGGTGTCAGCCAAGAGTGAGGAATCATTCTCTGACATGTCTCAGACTGCCTCCAATTGCCACAGGGAAGAAGGGTTGCCTGAGCTATGGGGGACAAATCCTTACATTATACACACCTGAATGACAAAAAAAAAAAAAAAAAAAAAAAAAGCATCCCTTAAAAAATGTTCCCTTAAAAAATGTTCTGGTGAGGAATGTCCTATGAGGTCATATCACATCCTGGAAAACACCCTTGAAAACTCTGAAAAGTCCCTAAGTCACCTAGATAAACCAACTGGGTCAGGGGAAGCTATTGTCCAATATAGTTTTGAGGTGACATAACTCACCCTTATGCACTTTTCTGTTTGGAATTAATAAAAATTGGTCACAAATAAGAACCTAAGTCCCAATTTCATGCAATGGAAAGCAGTTGCAATTTTAAAAGCCTGCTATATAAAGTTAAACCACCAAATTGCCAGTACCTTGACCCAGTACCTTGACCATTCTGATGTGAGGCAGAAACAGTGAAAGTCAAGTTTCTTTCTTTTCTTTTTTAATTTCCCTGAAACTCAAATGTGCTGCCCATTAGGCAAAGGTGGAAATCCTCCATTTTAAGCAAAGAGATTTGAAAAGAATAGCTCAAGCAAAGTCTAAACCTCCAACTAAAGAGCAGGACTCATCCCTTACATTCAACTATTCCTTTCAAGCTGCAAGAACACAAGGGGTTCACAGCTGGGTAGGTGCTGAATCTGGAAGGAATGTCTGATGGTTTGTGGCTGGAGGTGGGGGGGATCACTTTGAACCCTTCTTGCTCTTTCAAGAATGTCAACCAAAAAGAAATAAGCTGAGCCACAAAATATAATTTTAAACAGTTTACCTGAACTAAAATAAAGAGACCTACTAGGGACATACTTTAAAGTCGCTTATTTGGCCTTTATTACAAGCAGGTTTTTAAATGCAAAAGAGGATAGGAAGTGGGCTGATACAAAGTTCTTTGAGAGGAACTCTCACTGGTTTAAGAAAAATAACAGTGATTAGTGGTTGGCTATACATTTTTGTACTACAGGGTATGAGTCATGATTTCTAGTACATGGCATTTTATGGCTACTTGGCATCAGTTAGTTTAGAGCCCACATAGAAAGTGGCTTTAAGAATTAATTATTGTGTTCAAGGTGGGAGGGAGATGTGACTACTGTCACATTATAAATATCTTTTTGGGCCTGGTAATTGAAGTGGCTCAGGTAAAAATCTTCCCCCTACCCACCTCAGAAATTTATTTCTCAGTATGCAGTTATAGGCAGACATACAAGAAAAAGTGATCAATTCTGGTTTTAAAGGAAATATTATCACTTTGAAATATAGCATATTCATTAAATAGGAAAACTAATGATCAGTATGAAAATGACCATAATTTTAAAAACACAATGAAGTTATATTACCAAATTTTTTTAAAAAAAGAAACAACACCATGAAAGAGTTGTATTGAATGTCTACAATGAAATTCCATATTGAGCTGGGGGCTGTAAAATCCCCAATGTGCTTAGGGTTTATAAGGAGAGGCAGATCAGTAAGCCAGCGAGTAAAGTGCAGAATAACAAGGGCTATGAGAAACTTGTGCATCCAGAGGTACCGACACAGAAGCGATGTGTCATAGGAAAGACTTCCTAGATGCCTGAATGCCTGAGATGATCCGGGATGGCTGAGAGTTAGCCAGGGAAATGAAGTTGAGAAGAACATTTCAGGCAGAAGTAAAAGAGATAAAATAAGCACTACAGAGGAGAGGTCAATGAACATTAATGGAAATGCAAATGATTTAATGAGACTGGACCAAGAAGTGCAAAGGTAGCAGTGGCTAGTAAGAAAGCCAAGCAAGGGAGATAAGTGTTGTGTCCTTGATTGTCTTTTCTGCCCCACTAGAAGACTTTGAACCCTTCCCAAGGACTTTGGCAACTCAATAGAATACTTTACAAAAAAAAGTATGCGATTAAATCTCTAATTTGTCGAATTATTCTGGTAGAAATGCTGCAGGTGATTAGAGGGGTTGAAGAGTGAATTCTGCGACAAGATGTTAACAAATCAAGAAGGGAATAACAAAGCAGCAGGGAAGGATATTCAAAAACTACTTAGCAACCAGAAGCAATGGAACTTGGTGAAAGATTGCATTGAGAGAGTAAAAAAGAGCAAATCACAAGGAAAGAAATCCAGTATGTTAACTTAAGAAACCGGATAGATGTGAACAACTGGCTGAGATTGCAGAACAAACATACTGATGGCACACTGTGAAGATGATAATATCAATTTGAATATTTATATTTGTAATGCCAAGAGGAGATTTTTAGCTGACAGTCTTGACCTCATAGTGGGATTTGACATGAGTTAAAGATGAGGGAGTATTCAGTATTTAGGCAGGAGAGTGATTTCTGTCACCCAGGGTGTGTGTGCATAGCACAAAGAAAAGTAAGCCAGTAATTGATCCCTGAGGAAAGCAAACATTCAGAGGATAAGCAATAAAAGAGAAGGCAGAATAAAAAGTGGGCCAACACATGGAAGAATAATAAAGTAGAAATAGGGAGAGGAAGGCTGGCAGTCAAAGCTTTTTCTAGAAAACAGAACTACTCTGTGTATTTCAAATAGAGAATATTTAAAACAGAATTGATTGCAAATTTGTCACAAGAACTGGGAAAGCAAAAATAAAAAACTGAGGTTATTCAGAGATTAATACATTCAATAAACCCCTACCATCCTTAGGCTAAAAGATACAGATTGCCTAGTTGCTCTGCTGCTGAAGCAGGAAGACATTCTACATCTGTCTTGGCTGCTTGGGAAGAACCCTACAACTCTCTACCACACCACCACTGCCTTCCAAAAATCTAGAGGCCCACACAATTTTTATACTATAATAGTGTGGAAATATTTAAAGTAACTGAATGATGAGCAACATTAGTAACCTCCAGCAAAATTATGCTACCAAGGCTGCATTGATTCACATCCAGAAGGTAAAAGAGAGGGCCACAGGGCTTATTCCTTTTTCCCATTTCCCAGACTCCTAATACCTTCCACTGGGGGCATCTATGAAGAAACGAAGGTTTGAGGCTTCCAACAGAGCAGAGAAAAATAAAAGTAGAATAAAGACAAATAGACAAATGCCAGGTACACAAATTTTTAAGGATAGACGTTCAACATGAGAGACTTGACTGAAGCATTTTAGTTTGATTGCAAACTGCCAGCAAAATTGCTTTCTGAAATGAAGCATTAAGTTCTTTCTCTTACTATAAGCGTACAAGTATGCTTTTACACGTTTGTCAATACTGGATATTATCAACTCTTTTGTCTTTGTAAACACAACAGATGAAAATAGATATCAAAGTGTCACTTTCATTTGCATTGCAATAGTTAGAAGCAGCTGCAAGTTGTTTTTCTTAAAATATCTGTGAGCATTTCTGTATCATTTCAGTAACAATTCTGCTACATCCTTCTAGGGAAGACATGACCTCACGTATCTGCTGATCTTAGGCAATAAAATAATGGAATCGTGGTAATGGCATTAGTTCTGTTTTCCAGCTAAGCTTTATGCCTCTCAATATTTAGAGTCCCTCAAAGGTAGATCCTGACACAATGATTTGGGTGTAAGTATTTTATTTAGTGAATGAACTCAAGAAACATCAAATGTACAAGAAAGAATATGTCTCGAACTTAGAAGGTTTACTAAAGTACTTCATGGTGTTTCCTTGCCCAGAAGTAACATAGTAAAAGAGTGAGAAAGTGAGAAAAAGAAGGGAAACTTAGTAAAGAATGTTAATAAATTGGTCACTGCCTTGAGAACTTGACACTAAATCCCACAGGTGTCCCTTTAAGAAAGCACTGAGCTCAAAATGTCTCCCAAAATCTAAGGGAGCTAGATTTTTTTTGTTCAATTTCTGGTCCTCATTTGTTGAGAATAAGCAATGGGGTGTGTTGACATGCTGATATTTCTGTGTATCAGTTGAACATATTTCTACAAACAGTGAACACTTTTAGTCATAAAAAGCTAGGAAGCCACTGAAATATACTGGAACTGTTTTGGGGTAAAAAGGAACCAAGATAAAATGGGTGTACCTCTGCTCAGTTACTCCCATTTCAACGCACCCAAATTGAGTTCACTCTTCCCAGTCAGTGACTCTTCAGGATTGCAACTAGAAATGGTGCCTCTAAAAAACCTTCAAATAGAAATTTGCAATCCCCATGCTTCAGGTATTCATAAGGACATAATTAATTGTCATCATTTTATTCCTCTACCACAATTCTAGATTCACTCTCACCCTTACCCAGTATTTCTGCTGATCTAGGTTGCTTTTGCAGTTAAGTGACTGAGGCTTTCATTTCTGAGGGATCTGAGCCTTGATTATTTTTCCTGTGACAGGTCATGGTTGTCACAACCGTTAACAGTCTTATGTCTATGTATGGAAGCATCAACAGCCACCCCAGTAAGTCCTCTACATTACAGAATTTCTTCTCACTTTCTGATTATATAGCACTAACACCTGTTCCCCATGAAGATCAAGAAAATTATCCCAGTTGGTAAAGTAACTATATCCTTTATCTTTACCAGAAAAATGAGCAGGTAGCAAACATATTTTTAGCTTCCATGGAATTGTTATTGTGTCCCTGATCTTATTGTGTCCCTCTATCCTTGCGGAAAAGGCCTAAAGTTCCATAAGTCTTCTTCAAACCACTTTCTCTTTCATGTTCTAATATTTTTCATTTCAGGAAACTGAACATTCACCCAGGCCCTTCAACACTGCCTGGAATTTTTGATGTATTTTTACTTCTGACTACAGTCTTGTTAAATAGGACACTATCTCTTTATCATTAGGTAGGCTACACTAATTTTAGCAGGTCCAATCAATATATCAAAGTAATCTATCCAGTTTTTTCTCCTTGTCCATTAACTAGTCACAGGAATTTGCCAAACGTATATGAACAAAGCCGTATGTATGATGTGAGAAAGGGAGAGGTCAGTGAAACCATTATTTATTTGCTAAGGGTGTCATAATGAAGGACTATGAACTGGGTGGCCTAAACAACAGAAATATACTGTCTCAAAGCTATGGAGGCTGGAGGTCCAAGATTGGAGTGTTGGACAATTTTGATTTCTTTTTCTTTTCTTTTTCTTTTCTTTTTTTTTTTTTTTAACGGAGTCTCGCTCTGTCGTTCAGGCTGGAGTGCACTGAAGCGTTCCCGGCTCACTACAAGCTCCGCCTCCCGGGTTCACGCCATTCTCCTGCCTCAGCCTCCTGAGTAGCTGGGACTACAGGCGCCTGCTACCACATCCGGCTAATTTTTTGTATTTTTAGTAGAGATGGGGTTTCACCGTGTTAGCCAGGATAGTCTTGATCTCCTGACCTCGTGATCCGCCCGCCTCGGCCTCCCAAAGTGCTGGAATTACAGGCGTGAGCCACCGCGCCCGGCCCCAGTTTTGATTTCTTTAGAGTGGTGAAGGAGAATTTGTTCCATGCCTCTTTTCTAGTATCTAGTTATTTATTGGCATTCTATAGCTTTCTTTGGATTGTAGATCTTTGACTTCATCTTCACAAGGCATTCTCCCTGTGTGAATATCTATGTGCAAATATTCTCTTTTCCTAATGACACCAGTAATGTTAAATTAGAAGCCCATCTTATTCCAGCGTGACCTCATCTTAACCAGTTTTATATGCCACAGTCCTATTTCCAACGAGTCACATTTTTGAGACATTGTGGGAAGGGAGGTTTAGAATTTCAATGTAACAAATCTTTCCAGGGCACAATCCAACCCATAATACCCTCCGTAGATATATAGAGTCTACCTTCTATTTTTGTGGATGTGTTTGTGTGTGTGTGTGTAAATGTGTGCTCTCTACACTTGAGTAAGTCCACTCCTAAATGTATACATTATTGCATGGAATCAATGCCTCGGTCGTTCATCTAGCTAACGATGGGTAGTTCTGTTCAAATCATTTATTTACATAAATAAGACTAGGTGCAGTAGCCTGTCAGGCATTGCTTTTTTGAATGGGCAAAAGAAATATGCTGCAGATGGTCTTGTTTGAGGATGCTAGGGATCTGCAGAAGGTCTCTCCTGTTAGAGCTTGCCAGAGACAACATATGCCATTTCGATCTACCACAGATATCAGGACTTTAGAGTCTACTGGGTTTTGTTATTGAATGCAGTGCAGCTTGTATCAAAACCTGAACCTGCTGTAGAACTCTTCCTTTCACTGGCAGTCACTCAAATATGGCAGTCCTCTAAGTCACTGGTTAAAGCCACATTCCCAATTTTACTATGTGCTGTCTGAAAAATACAAAGTGATCTATCTTCATGTGCTGTGTCTCTTCGTGGTGGGAGCTGAAACATACAACAACTTGTTCTATATCTGGGATAAGATGGCTCCAAACCATTAGATATTAAAAAGGTCACTAATGTGACAGAGGCTTGCGGTTTCGTAGGGTTTATTTCTCAGTCTTTCCAGGGTTTGCAGAATACTTGTTACTTTTGAGTTTGAGGGTGACATTAATCTCTCCTATACCATCTGATATATTTTTGTTTCATAAATTAACTCTTTGACTAAAGAAAGAGCAGTTTCTGGGTCTTCAGCTTCATCTTGTTTTGATCATAATCTCACTACATAAGTCTTGAAACTACCATGAGAATTATGTTCATTGCTATAAATATTATTTTATATTATTTAATGAAAGACCAGGGGAAAGGTCACGTGGTGGGTCCAGGGAACCACTGATGCATTGCGAGGGGGACTGTGTACAAGAATCCTTTCATAACGTCCATTTATCCCACTCTAAGAGAGGAGCTGTGCTTGTGTTTTGGATCCTCTGTTATCAGTGCAAACTCACCTTCTAATCAATTGCTCTTGTAAGATCTGAATATTTTCTTTACCTAATGTATAATATTTCTCATAAATAACTGTAGATCTATTTGGTGAAGGATTAGATAAAAAGTCATGCCTGTATCAAAGCATCTCATGTATAATTACTACATACAAAAATTAAAAAGAAGTATATTAAAAAGATAGATTCTTTCTGGAACAATTCACTTTCTATCCTAAATGGCATAGGATTTTCTCATTCAATCTTGCTCTGAGAATTGGCTCAGTTTTAAAGACTGGGTGAGAGATAATAAGCCTTCATGAAGGCAATGACCTTAGCCCTCTGATTGACAACTCTTGATTTTTGTTGTTGTTGTTGTATAAGCAAAGTCGAATCCACATTGGCTGTCCATCTGTCTTTCACTGGGAACACTACGTTCTGTTATTCACTGTCACTGGTCCTGCATGCCAAGACCAGCTGGTTTCATTCAGTCTTGCAGCCCATTATGACAGTTTTTACCCATCTTGCCTTTGACAGTTAAATGCTGCCACCTGGTTCAACTCTTCTAGAACCTTATAACTATTGATACTAGCAAACTGTCTCATAGAAATTTAGTTAACTCTTGTGTTTGAGTCAGCTACTGCTATATGTACACTACATAATATACAACTTCAAAACTCAATGTCTTGCAACAACTATCATTTATTTTTTCTCCCTCACTGGTGTACAGTTTAGTAGGGATGGCTCCACTACACATTGGAGGTTGTTGGGTAATAGGCTTTTAACTGGGATCATCTCTCCTTAATGTTTACCTACATTTTTTTTTCTTGGACTAGCATCTACTTGGGACATAATTTCATGGTAATCTTGGAACACACTGAGTAGACAGAAAAATATGTCTTCAGATATTGAATCAATACTGGCTCACTATAATGTTTGCCCTCATTTTAGTAGCTGAACACGAATGTGTTTGCATCTTCCCATCTGGTGCATGTCACAATCACATGTAAGAGGCAATAATGTGAAGAATCAAGAATAATATTCCACACTACCACAGTCCATTGTCTTGGTAACAATTATTCATTTTTCTTTCAGAAGTCAATTAAACTCATTTCCTCCACAGGATACCAAAAAAGTCACATTGTATCAGGCTTGAGGCCCAGGGTCTCATAATCTTAGTCAGGTCTGGAGAAGAATTATTTTGATCCAATACCTGTGAAATAAAAGTAAAAATTATCTATATTCCACATACTCGATTTACAATGGTGAAGAAAAGGGATATAATCACAATGGTAAGCACATAATATTTAATGGTCCGTAGCAATTCTGAAAATCCATGGGTTAATGTGAGGTTCTGCTACCCTGAGCTATGGATTATTTATTTTTACTGACCCAGATTTACTCCCTGAGAATATTCCCTGGACCTTTATTTTTCATGGCTTTTGATTTTGCTTCTGGAAGACTCTTCAGTTTCCATAATCCTCCTTGGGCACAAGATAGTGGGCATTAGAGAATAGACTCTCCCTGGCGACTGAACATTTCAGTCAGCATGCTTTCTGTAGAGAATAAAATCAGGACCTAAAAATATTCTTACTTTCAAACAGCTACCGTATCTTTTAATTCAAGCTGCTGGAACTTTTTTCATATCGCCTTGGATTGCCACCAGTGAGATGTTGTTTTTTACAGTAGAAGAAAATAGATTTTTGGCCAGGCGCGGTGGCTCATGCCTGTAAATCCTAGCACTTTGGTAGGTCAAGGTGGGAGGATCACGAGGTCAGGAGATCAAGACCATCTTGGCTAACACGGTGAAACCCCATCTCCACTAAAAATACAACAAATTAGCTGGGTGCGGTGGTGGGGACCTGTAGTCCCAGCTACTCCGGAGGCTGAGGCAGGAGAATCACTTGAACCTAGGAGGCAGAGGTTGCAGTGAGCCGAGATGACGCCACTGCACTCCAGCCTGGGTGGCATAGAGAGACTCCATCAGAAAAATAAATGAAAAAAGAAAGAAAGAGAGAGAGAGAAAGAGAGAAAGAAAGAAAGAAAGAAGGAAAGAAAGAAAGAAAGAAAGAAAGAAAGAAAGAAAGAAAGAAAGAAAGAAAGAAAGAAAGAGAGAGAAAGAGGGAGAGAAAGAGAGAAAAGGAAAGAAAATAGATTTTTACCAGAGAGAGAGAGAAGAAAAATAAATAAATAAAAGTAGCAGGGTCAGGTTAATATTTGCCAGCAGGAACCAGGAGACTCTGAGTGTGATTTTGAGAATGTTGGGTTTGCAGGGTTGCAGAGAGTCAGGGGGTCTTTGTCAGGCTGGGGGCTTCTGCTTCATCACAGGTCTTTAGGGCTAGGTCTGTCTCATGTGTCTGTCAACCTCCTGGGACCAGCCAGCTTTCTAGCACATGCTCTCCTCCTGATGATGGCAGAGGGCCAAGACAGCCAGCAGCACCACAAGAAGTCTTTAACTGCCAAGGCTCAGGAGTGGCCCATTGCCATATCCATTAGCACTCAGATGGTCCAAACTTGGCTGGGACTAGGATGAGGTGAGTGAGACACTCATCTGGGGGACAAAATTTAAGGGGCTGCCAACAAACTTAGTAAGCAGGATTAAAAAAAAATGTTTCAGTGCATTTTTAAGGCAAAAAGTTCCTGGATGAACAAAGTATCAAAATTGTAAATAAAGACAGGATCTTATCTTGAATTTTCACAGTCCTGTGTTACCTGCCTTACCCTAAGCTCACCCTTCAAGTCATTCAGTCAAGCCAAAGCTGGTGAGATGAGAAATATAATCCCTCTATTGAGAGGGGATTTAAGGAATAGAATATTTTTGAACAACACTCTAACTAAAGTGACTAAAAAATAAACAACGCATCTAAATATTGTAATGAAGAAATTATGTCTGAGGGAAATGTGAGTGATAAAATGATAATTCTAGTAATGAGAATCTGTTGGAAAGAGGAGGAGACATGCTTGTATGAATAATGACATGAATAAAACTCCATATGAAGATTTAAAGATGTATTTTCAGATAATGTGACTTAACTAGTTTTAAATTAAATGTTACTTTAGCTTTTATTTGAAAGGCATTTTATTTTTGGAAGGAGCTGACAAAAATTCTATTCAAACTGTTTCAGTTAAAAAATACTCATTAGTATAAATAACAGAATTGCAAGACTACAGTAAAACTTTCTAGACACCAAATGGGACTTAAGAATTCAAACTAGATGACAGGGCTGTTCTGTTTTAGCCTGTGGAAGGAGAAGTTATAGCTAGCAGCCCTGCAATTACATTCCTCCAGATCCCTGATACAAAAGATCACTCTCTTCTCTCAGCCACACATCAAGCACTCCCAGAAAACCTCTTTCATTGGGTAAAGAAGTCAGAGGTGGTAATTTTTATGCGATACAGAAGCCTAATGAATATAGTAGAGATTCCTACACAATAATTTGCTTGGGATAGAACACCTTGTAAAATCAGGCACCTGTCACAGTGTCTAACCTTCAGAGCAATGTCTGAGTTTGTGCATGTGAAAAAAGAAATTCTAAACTTGAAGTTTAAGCCTGAGCCATCACTACAGGCCAGCACATCCATCATGCCAGCAATGTTCATCTTTTTCTTGGATTCTAACAAGTTTCATTTTCAAATAAGGCATTTTGAGGATTTGAAGATTTGAGATGAGAAAGGAAGCAGGTAAGCCAGTTAAATAATTCAGATTTTTTTTTTCTACCAATTGTTTGGAATTAGAACTGACCCTATGGACCAAGCATGTTCCCACAGTTCTTGAAAAATCTGTAGCAATTTTAGCTTCAAGTAATGGGTAATAATAAAGTATGTGAATAATTTCTATTAGTTCTATAAGCAGATAGAGTATGACCTACTGGTATTACCTGTACTGCTTTATGGGGCAAACCTCTAGATCAAACCTCTACGTATCAAGTATCTCTAGCTTACCCTCCTATAATTTAAACACTTAGAGATTTATTGGCTATTATGTCTTGTATTGACCTATGTGCAGTATTAAGTACTTATGTTAGTCACAGTAATATAAGAGTTTTGTAGGAAGTCACTTTGTTGGTAAATGGTGAAGTTGGTATTGCACCTAGGCAGTGTCCATCTATATGCTGCAATCCTAATTATGAGCCCCTCATTGCCATGATGTTCCCCTCTTTGTGTTCATATTTAGTCTATATTTAACTCCCACTTACAAGTGAAAATATGCAGTATTTGGTTTTCTGTCCCTGCATTAATTTACTTAGGAATGTCCTTCAACTGCAGCCATGTTGTGCAAAAGACATAATTCTGTTTTTTTAATGGATGCATAGATTATCATGGTATATGTGCCACATTTTCTTTCTTGAGTCCACTGTTGATGGGTATCTTTGATTTCATGTCTTTGCTATTGTGAATAGTGCTCCAATGAGCATGTGTATGAATGTGTCTTTATGGTAGAATGATTTATATACCTTTTGGTATATGCCCAGTAATGGAATGGGTTGAATGGTAGCTCTATTTTAAGCTATCTGAAAAATCTTCAAACTCTTTTCCATAGTGGCTGAAGTAATTTACATTCCCACAAAAAGATATAAAGTGTTTTATTTTCTCTGCAACTCACCAGCATCTGTTATTTTTTGGCTTTTTAGTAATAGCCATTCTGATTGGTGTAAGATGGTATCTCATTGTGATTTTGATTTGCATTCTCCCATGATTAGTGATGTGGAGCATTTTTATATGCTTGTTGGCTGCACGTATGTCTTTTTTGAGAAGTCTCTGTTCATGTCTTTTACCCGTTTTTAATGGAGTTATTTGTTTTTGCTTGTTGATTTGTTTGTTTCTTATACATTCTGGATATTAGACCTTTGTTGGATGCACAGTTTGCAAATATTTTCTCCCATTCAGCAGGTTTTCTGTTTACCTGGTTGATAGTTTATCTTGATATACAGCAGCTCTTTAGTTTAATTAAGTCCCACTTTTCTATTTTTTGTTGTTGCAATTGCTTTTGGACTCTTTACTATGAAATATTTGCCAAATCCTATGTCCAGAATGGTACTTCCTAGGTTTTCTTCTAGGGTTTTTCTAGTTTTAGGTCTTACATTTAAGCCTTTAATCCATCTTGAGCTAATTTTTGTATATGGTGAAAGAAGGTGTCTGGTTTTCATCTTCTGCATATGGCTAGCCAGCTATCCCAGCACCATTTACTGAATGAGCCATTTTTCTATTGCTTGTTGTTGTTGACTTTGTTGAACATCAGACTGTTGTATGTGTGCAGCTTTTTTGAGTTTTCTAGTTTTTTTCCATTGATGTAGGTGTCAGTTTTTGTACCAGTGCCATGCTTTCATTTTTTTTATTACTGTAGCTTTGTAGTATAAAGTTGGGTAATGTGATGTTTCCGGCTTTGCTCTTTTTTTCTTGGGATTGCTTTGCTATTCTGGCTCCCTTTATATTCATACTGAGAATATAAGGACTAGCATGACTTGGGGGTGATTATCTTACATAGAATCTTACTTGGATTTTCTGAAATTCCCAAATTTCATGTCAACATTTCTAGTGAGGTTTTGGAAATTTTTTGAATGGTATCCTATCCTCAAATATGTTTTCCAAGTTGCTTGTTCTCTCCCCCTCTCTTTCTGAGATACCAATTAGTGATAAATTTGGTCCCTGTACAGAATTCCTCATTTCTCAGATGTTGTGTTCATTTTTCAGTTCTTTTTTCTTTATTTTTGTCTGACTGAGTTGATTTGAAGAACCAGTCATTGAGCTCTGAGACTCTTTCCTCACCTTGGTTCATTCTGCTGTTAATACTTATGATATTGCATTATAAAATGCTTGTAGTGAGTTTTTCAGCTCTAGAAAATAAGTCTGGTTCTTTCTCAGGATGGCTGTTTCATCTTTCAACTCTTGTATCTTTTTATTGAATTCCTGGGATTGAGTTTCAACTTTCTTCTGAAACTTGATAATTTTTGTTGCCATCCAGCTTCTGAATTCTGCGTCTGTCATTTCGGCCATTTCAGTCTGGTTAAGAACCATTGCTGGGGAGATCGTGTGGTCATCTGGAGGTAAGAAGAACCTCTGGACTTTATGGTTCTGGAATCAGAGTTCTTGTGCTGATTCTTTTTCATCTGCGTGGGCTGGTGTTCCTTTAATGTTTGAAGTTTCTATCCCTTAAATGAGACTTTTTACTTTTATATTTTTCAATGTTCTTGAGGATTTGACTGTGGTATAAGTTGAATTTAGTCAATTGGCTTCATTTCTGAATGATTTCAGGAGGCCAACGCTCAGTTCAGTTCAGCACTCCTAGGCTGAATGTTGTAACCCTGGGGTGCTGGTTCTAAGCCTGTAGCTTTTTTCTCTGGCCCTTCAAGGTTAAGCACCTGCTACACTGGAGGGGCCAATGTGTTTCCAGTCTGCTAACAATAACACTCCAATGAGGGGTGCCAGCAAATGTACTTTGGCAGGGTTTCAGCATGGCAGCAGTGGGTGTCATGTGCCTGTGCATGCTGGTAGTATGGTGGTGGTGGGGTCAGTATGCACATGCACTCCAGCAAAGCACGAGGGAGGCTACAGGCAAACGAGTGGTGGTGAAGCAACAGTGAGTGGGTTGCAGGTTTGTGCAAGCTGGTGGGAGCCTCCCTGCAGAAGCTCTCTGACTGTTAGACAGGGTCTGCCAGTGAAAGTAATGGGGGTGGCTGCTGGCAAGTGCTTCAGCTGGGCAACTGAGACCACACTGAAAGTGGGTGTGGCCAGGAAGGCCCAGCTTATCCACCACTAACCTAACAATCATGTTTTTTTCCTTCAATTTAACCCACTTTCAGTGCTTTCTATTGACATAGTTCAGATATTTGTCCCCTCCAAATCTCATATTGAAATTTGATCTCCAATGTTGGTAGTGAGAGATGTTTGGGTGGTGGGGTGAATCCCTTATGAATGGTTTGGTGCCACCTTCACGGTAATGAGTTCTCACTCTTAATTTACAGAAAACTGATTATTAAAAACAGCCTAGGATCTCCCTCCTCTCTTTCCTCCTTTTTATCTAATCATGTGATTCCTACTTTCCTTCTGCTTCTGCCAGCAGCTTGAGGTTTTCACCAGAAACATACACTGACGTCATGTTTCTTGTACAGCCTACAGAACCAAGATCCAAATAGAACTCTTTTCTTTATAAATCACCCAGCCTCAAATATTCATTTATAGCAACACGAATAGACTAAGGTATCTTCTATCTATTGGTGTTCTGAGTTCATTGATTCTTTTACCTTTTACCCTACTTCTGTGTATAATCCCATAGCTGTCTATTCCCTTCAAAATCAGATTAAATTCTAAGGCCTGTCATTCAAATCATTCTCGAATATCAGTGCTCTGCTTGTGGTGGGGAAAAACTAAAACTAGGTTATATTTACAATCTATCTTCTCTGCGAACTCTTCAGGTTACTGAGCATCACTCAGGGAAATCTCAAAATCAAACATATTGCTACATACAAATCCATGCTTATAAACTATAATGTATCTTCAATACTGCATTAAAAGTCTGCTTTTCTACTAAGGAAATTGTTAATTCCTCATTATCCCTTAAAGCTCAAATCATAAACACTCATGTCAGTCTCAGTTTATGACCCTTCTTCCAAATACGATGAGATATCAGAAGCCAGCAGACATAAAATCAGGAGGATTCTGATTTGGACCCATGTTTCTTCCCTTCCTTGATTTCAGTACAGGCTTTTGCCTTTATCGTACAATAATATTCAACTTTTATCTTTCAAACACTTTCTGAAATGAAGGAATGTAAGACTATAAGTAGAAAGAAAACTAGGACTGGGCATAGCTGGGTGCTTCTGAATGCCCACATTTATTCTTATGCCTATTTATTCAAAATCAAGTTAATGAGATTTTAGTGGGAGCTTATGACAGTGCTGAATGCTGGGGATACAGGAGTCAGCAAAAGCAATAATATTTATGACACAAACAAATGTATACATTGTTAAGGAAAACAGATAATGCACAAGAAAGAATCATAACAAAATAGATTCTTGTAATAGATGATAAAAGGGCACATATTGGAGGCATTCCGTTATTCTTGTCAGAGAATTATACAGGAAACCCAACAATGTAAAGACCTAATCAACATGTAAAACTCCTGGAGAATAAAAAATAAAACAGGAAGAGAAGAATGCACAAAGCTACAAATACAGGATAGTGCTTACTGCATTTGAAGAAAAGAACATAAACTAAAGTGAAATGAACAAGCAAAGAAAACACTAAATGTCTGAAGCGGAGGGAAGAAAGGCAAGATGTGTCAAGTGAGTTGGGAAAAGTCAGGGTCTAACCTACATCTTAGATGCTAAAATAGAACAATTTAAATATGTTTCAAAGGAAAATAGGATATATTGAAAGATGTGATGTTAATCTAAGGAATCAGATGATCCTAGTGATATTTTCTTATTTTTATTTTTGGAGGATTTTTCTGAATCTTATTTTGTTTTACTTTTTCAACTTTTATGTAAGCCTCTAAATTTGCTACTGCAAATGTACTTATTTTATATAGAGAAAAAATAGACATTAAAAGGTTTATATAACTGTGTATCTGTATTAATACAGATATACAAAAATATAATCACAGAGCTGGAAAACTTGGATGGAAGTACATCAAATTACTCTCAGTGGTTGTTTCTGGTTGGTGAGTTAGATATGATTTTCACGTTAACTTTCTTCTTTTAAATCTTAATTGAGGTACAATTAACCTCAATACATAAAATACGTAAAACAAAATTTATATATATTTAAGGTGTGCAATTTGATGTTTTGATATATACAAACATTGGAAGATAATGAACACAATCCTGCTAATTAACATATCCGTCACCTCACATAGCAACCATTTTCAGGTATACAAAGTATTATTATTAAATATAGCCATGATGCTGCCTCTCAGATCTCCAGAACTTGTTTATCTTTTAACAGAAAGTTTATATCCTTTGATCAACATCTCCCCATTTCCCCCCACCCACCCCCAGCATCTCCTCATTTCTCTCATTCTGGATTCATGGTAACTACCTTTGTACTCTGTTCTGTGAATTTTCCTTTTTTGGATTCCACATGTAAGTAAGATATGTAGTATTTGTCTTTCTGTGCCTGGATTATTTCAGTTAACATAATGTCCTCCAGGTTTATTCGTATTATTGCACATGACAAAATTTTTTTCCTTTAGGCCAAAAAGTATTCCAGTGTATCTATGCCTATCAATGTCTATAAAATATTTTCTTTATTCATCTGTTGATGAACTTTCAGTTGTTTCCATACCTTGGCTATTGTGAACGATGCTGCAATAAATGTGGGAATGTAGATATTATTTTAAGATTTTGATTTCAATTCCCCTAGATATATACCCAAAAGTGAGATTGCTGTATCATATGTTAGTCCTATTTATTTTTTGAGGAAACTTCATATTGTTTTTAATAATATTTTACCAGTTCACATTTCACCAACTATGTATAAGGATTCCTTTTTCTCTGTGTCCTCTCCAACACTTGCTAACTTTTCAATTTTTGATCATGGCCATCTTAGCAGATATGAGGTGATATTGTAGACTTAATTTCCATTTTCCTAATGATTAGTACTGTTAAACACCTTCCATATATGCATTTGCATGTCTTCTTTGGAGAAATGTCTATTCAGATCCTTGGCCCCTTTCTAAATTATTTGGGTTTTTTTTCTATTGTAGATATGAAATCAAAAGCATAGGTATAAAACACAAAAATAAACAAATGACACTATAGAAAAGTAAACTGTTACTGCATAGCTAATGAAATAATAAAAAAATGAAAGGCAATCTGTAGAATGGGAGAAAGTATTTGCAAACCATATATTCAATAGGGGGTTAATATTATTCAAACTATATAAATAACTCATACAATCTAAATGGTATTTTTAAAAGATCACTATGGCTCCAGTGTGGAAAAGTATTAGGAAAAAAACCAAAACAGTAAAAGAAGGAGCAAGACATGTCATGTGTACTGCAATAGTAATTACAGAGAGCATGGTAGCTGATATGGATACTGAGGGGTTTTTTTCGAAAAAAAATTTTTTTTTTTGAGTTGGAGTCTCGCTCTGTCTCCCAGGCTGGAGCGCAGTGGCGTGATCGTGATCTCCTCTCACCGCAAGCTCCGCCTCCCGGGTTCACGCCATTCTCCTGCCTCTTAGCTGGGGCTACAGGCGCCCGCCACCATGCCCTACTATTTTTTTTGTATTTTTTAGTGGAGACGGGGTTTCACCGTGTAAGCCAGGATAGTCTCCATCTCCTGACCTCGTGATTCGCCCGCCTCCGCCTCCCAAAGGGCTGGGATTACAGGCTTGAGCCACCGTGCCCGGCCTGAAAAAAATTGTTGTAAGAACATTTAACACGAGATGTACCCTTTTAACAAATTTGTAAATGCATAATAAAGTATTATTAACTATATGCACATTGTTGTACAGCTCATCTTTGGAAATTGTTTATCTTGAAATACTGAAGATTCACCTATTACACAGCAACACTCCATTTCTCTCTGCCCCGTCCCCTGGCAACCACCATTTCACTCTGTTTCTATGATTTGATTATTTTAAATACTTCCTATAAGTGGAATGATGCAGTGTTTTTCCTAATGTGACTGGCTTATTTTACTTAGTAAAATGGCCTCCAGGATTATTCATGCTATTGCATGTGGCAGAATTTTCTTCTTTTTAAAAAGTAAATAATATTCCATTGTATTTATATACGTAACATCTTAACAGAAGATATGCTGACATACATGGAAAATTAACGTATGTTCAAATACAGGGTACAGGAGACATAAGTAGAACTATGAGGGGGTTGTGACAGTAAGGTAGAAAGTTTGAACTATGGTTTGCTGGAGGAATCAGACTAATCTGTATTTGATGTCTCAAAAATATATGAGGTTAATTTAGAGAGCACTGTGATAGATTAGGAATGGGTTTGAGTAAAAGGAAGCAGTATTATTTATTTACTCAAGTTTTGGACTTGTAAATCTGTGTAGGTGATGGTGTCCTTCAGGAGAATGAAAACAGTAGAGAAGGCAAATCTTAGATGGAAGACAAACTCATTAATTTGTGGTGCAGTCTATATCCTTGAATGTCAAAATGTATCCTTTTGACATGCAAGATGGAAGTTTTGATAAATTGCTTATGATAAATTTCTAGAGTTGACACAGAATATAATAAAAATTAAAATTTAATCTTCTATCATTGTAATTTCATAGTTTTTAAACTATCACGCACTGACTCTTTTCAGTATTTCCATTTTTTTTTTTTTTTTTTTTTTTTTGAGGCGGAGTCTTACTCTGTCACCCAGGCTGGAGTGCAGTGGCGCGATCTCGGCTCACTGCAACCTCCGCCTCCCGGGTTCACGCCATTCTCCTGCCTCAGCCTCCCTAGTAGCTGGGACTACAGGCGCCCACCACCACACCCAGCTAATTTTTTGTGTTTTTAGTAGAGACGGGCTTTCACTGTGTTAGCCAGGATGGTCTCGATCTCCTGACCTTGTGATCCGCCCGCCTCGGCCTCCTAAAGTGCTGGGATTACAAGTCTGAGCCACTCCATTGTTATTTTTGAGATTATCTTAATTTTAACATTGTTTATAAGGCTATTGCTATCACTGGTATTAACCAAGAAAATTTCTAACAATGAATCAATAGTGTGTAGAAATTAAGTCTGTATTTTATCAGCATTGATATCAAGGTCAAAATTTTGTGCTGCTTTCCTCCATTTTGATTTTCAAGTTATCTTTACGTTATTTGACCAACAAACATTTGGAACACAGTAAGTGTTGCACTGTTATATATCTTATATAGAAAGACAAATTATCATGTGATGATTTTACATATATGTGTGTGTGCATGTAATATTATATATACATTAAGTTATATATTTGAATATGTGTTTGTGTGTGAGTCTGTGTACATACGCATATATATAAATAATTCATTGTTAAATTTGAAACTGAGATTCTTGTTCCTGAGAGCAGCTTTTGGTATCTCCCGAGCAAACTGTCAATTTTATCCTATATTTTGCTAACCGATTTTTTGAGATATATTAACTGCTCTTATCTTTTAAATTTTAAAAAATTATAAAGTGTTATTATTTTTTATGTTTTAAATTATTATAATCAATGGATTTAAGTTGTTAATATGTATTTGATTTTGAATAAGTATTCAAATATGAAAATTAGTTCAAGGTCTGGGCAAAATATAAAAGATGATAACCTGATTGTAACTTGGTAGAAGAAACAATATAAAGAAGAGACGAAGATTCTCTGCAATGATTTCTGTGCAATTTCCAGAAATAGCAAAGAATGTTATTTAGAAATAGTGAAGATTTCCTTTGTGAAACTATACAATTCTTTTAATAAATTATATAATAAAGAGGTTTTTGTTAAAATTGTTATAATTAATTCGTTAAAAAATTATATAATAAAGAGGTTTCTGTTAAATTAATTGTTTTGAAAAAGACACACTGGTACACTTTTTAGTTTATCTTCAGTGGATATTCTGAAAAAGGTTCAATGCTGATTAAGCTGTTCCTTGTTACTAGCAATTTATTGGTTATGTATTGGTAAATTAAATAATTTTTTTCCAAATGTATGATATGATATTATAAATTATATTGTATATAAATCCAAATTTTGCTTCTGTTTTAACAAGACATTTCATTCATTCAGAAAAATTGGAAAGTATCAAAAATATGTAAAAATAACTAATTATAATGTGTACTTACAATAATAAAATAAATATTTGTTTTTTATTGTAAAGTCTTGATATTTCTTATGATTTTCAATACATTTTATTTTCTTCTTGTAAAACTGTGATATATAAATAATTAAAATATTTTGTGAAGTGATAGTGCTTGAGATATTGATAACATTGCTAATCTATATTAAAATTTTAGATTTTTTAAAATGTATTTTTTTCAGTTAAAGTTTTGCATGTCAGAAATTTTCCTACGTTTCATTTAAGTTTTTTTGAGAATTGTACAAATATAATACCTTTTCCATTTGAAAAAATATAGGTTCACTGTGGTCATCTGCCTAACTATATTTTAAATATTTTTCAGGGAGTATTAGTTGATTTATATGTTTAAAAGTATTTCAGACCAACAATTAAAAACAAAACAAAAATAATCTGGCATTTTAGTGAGAATATTTATTGTCATTTAAAACACAAATATTCATAAAACATTGTACATATTTTACATTTTTCACTTGATCCCAATTGCCAAGCTTTATTTTTATTTGGAATATGCAAATAAATTTCTTGTGATATTCTGTAATTTTCATAACAGTAATATTGTATATTAAATAAACACAAAATGGTTTCTTATAAAATATATTATCCTGTTGGTTTTGCCTACAGCCTATGTTCTATAATATAGTCCTTTCCCGGAATATGTTTAACATGTATATAGTAACATATTCATCTGTAAAACCTTTAGCTAACTGAAAGTATGAAAGGGCCATTTAAAACTATATTCAGTATAAGCTTTATCAATTTGTTATTAAAATAGTTTAGCTTTATTGGTCAGAGTTGTCATTTATATGCAAAAGTGCTACATAGGATGACAGCATTTATTATGTTGAAGAATAACTTTAAAATACCTGACACAATTTTCTTGCAATAAATCAAAATGGAAAAATGGGTCTTCCATTTATAAACTTTAGAAAAGACATTTTACAAAGCCCTAACACTATTTTTAGCCCATATATGTGTTGTTTGGCAACGTTTAAGGAATTACTCTGCTTAGACAGGTGTATTATAAAGTTTATTGCAATTTACTGTTTAAAGTGAATACAGTTGAATGCTGATGATAAATTTTCTAAACTCATGTGCTTCATCTTTAATAATTAGTTTTCTTGTTCAATAAAATAAAAATTACATATTGAGATTTCCTTATATAAGTATTTTTCTATTTTTCAAATAGCTTTCTTATTTACTTTTAAAATGTCAGAGTTATATCATAACTTTAAAATTTATAATGGCAAAAAGTATCTGCTAAGATACATTGATACTAAAGTAGAAACTTTCAAATTAATTAAAATCAGTTTTAATAGATAAGAGCTAATCACTCTAAAACCAATTCATCAAAATGGAACATAAATTGCTACCTTGAAATAAAAGAAAAACACATATATTTCTCTCATTTTATATTCCATAGTATCTAATAAATAAACCGCTTGGCTATATTCAGTAGTTTTTTGGATATTTTGATTTAATAATATTAAACAATGGGTAACTGCTTATGTTTACTCAATATTTTTGACATTTCTCTGCTCTTAAATGATTGCTTGCTTTTTTCTTTTACTATTTAATGATACTTTCCTCTTTTCCTTTTTTTTTTTTTTTTGTTTTTGTTTGTTTTCCATCATCATATTTCTGAACATCTTCTCACCTGGCCATGGCAAATTGTCATGCTCAGTTCTAAATAAACCTATCAACTTCAAATCTTTCTCTAAAATTAAATTAGCACAAATCACTGCACTCCAGCCTGGGTGACAGAGCAAGACTCCAGCTCAGAAAAAAAAAAAAAAAAAGAAAAGAAAAGAAAAGAAATTACTCCTGGGCTGGGCACAGTGGCTCACGCCTGTAATTCCAATATTTTAGGAAGCTGAGGTAGGGGGGTTGAGTCACTCTAGGAGTTTGAGACCATCCTTGTCAACATGGTAAAACCTCATCTCTATAAAAAATACAAAAAATTAGCCAGACATGGTGGTTTGTGCCTATGGTCCCAGAGCTACTCAGGAGGCTGAGATGGGTGGATCACCTGAGCCTGGGAGGTCAAGGTTGCTGTGAGCTGTGGTCGTGCCACTGCACTCCAGCCTGAGTGACAGAGTGAGATCTTATCAAAAAGAAAAAAAAGAAAAAGTAAAAGAAACTACTTCTGCATCCAACCCATTAGTTATTTCCTAACATAGTCAAAAACAAAGAAGAATGTCTTCTAAGTAAAATTTCTATAATAAGAAAAGCAGTATACTAAAGCATAATAGTAAAACAACATAATATTAATAAACAATAAATAGAAAGAGCTCCTCCACAGGCATATGTTATTTTATTGCACTTCACTTTAATGCACTTTGTGTGTATTTTTTTTTCAAATTGAAGATTTGTGGCCACCCTGTGTAGAGCAAGTCTAACGACAACATGTTTTCAAACAACATAGGCTTACTTCTTGTCTCTGTGTCATATTTGGTAATTCTCATGATATTTCAAACTTTATCATGATTATTGCATCTGTTATGGTGATCTGTAACTAATGATCATTGATATTACTATTGTAATTGTTTTGGAGCATCATAAAAGATGGTGAACTTAACCAATAAAGGTCATATGTGATCTTACTGCCCTACTGACTCATTGTTCCCCTGTTGCTCTCCATTTCCTCAGCCCTCCCTATTTTCTTGAGACACAACAATATTGAAATTGGCCCAATTAATAACCCTTCCATGGCCTCTATATATTCAAGTGAAAGGAAGAGTCATATTCTCTCAGTTTCAATCAAAAGCTAGAAATAATTAAGCTTAGTGAGAAAGGCATGCCAAAAACTGAGATAGACCAAAGATAGGCCTCTTGTGTCAAAGAGTTAGCAAAGATATGAATAAAAAATAAAAGTTCTTGAAGAAACTTAAAAGTTCTACTCAGTTGGTGGGTGGATCACGAGGTCAGGAGATCGAGACCATCCTGGCAAACACAGTGAAACCCCGTCTCTACTAAAGATACAAAAATTAGCTGGGTGTGGTGGTGAGCCCCTGTAGTCCCAGCTACTTGGGAGGCTGAGGCAGGAGAATGGCATGAACCTGGGAGGTGGAGCTTGCGGTGAGCCAAGATCGTGCCACTGCACTCCAGCCTGAGCGAGAGAGCAAGACTCCGTCTCAAAAAAAAAAAGAATATATGAATCATAAAAAAGTGAAACAGTCTTATTACTGATACTGAGAAGTTTTTGGTAGTCTGAAAAGATCAAACCACCCACAACGTGTACTTAAGCCAAAGCCTAATGCAGAGCAAGGCCCTAATTCCCTTTAGTTTTATGAAGGCTGAGAGACTTGAAGAATCGGCATAAGAAAAATTTGAAGCTATCAAAGTTTGGTTTATGAGGTTTAAGGAAAAGAGCCAACTCTATAACATAAAATGCAAGGTGAAGCATGAATTGCTGATGTAGAGGCTGCAGCCAGTTATCCAGGATATCTAACTAAAATAATGGATGAAGGTGATTACATTAAACAATATATTTTTAGTGCAAGTAAAGTTGCCTTTTATGTAATCTAGGGTATTCATAGGGAAGAGAAATAATTGCTTCAAAGTTTTAAAAAACAGGCTATCTTCTCAGTAGCTAATGCAATTGGTGACTTTAAGTTAAAGCACATGCTTATTTATACCATTCTGAAAATTCTAGAGCCCTTAAAATTATGCTAAGTCACTCTGCCTGTTGTCTATCAATGAAACAATAAAGATTGAATGACAGCACATCTGTTTAGTGCATATTTTAAGCCCATTGTTGAGACCTACCTCTCAGAAAAAAGATTTCTTTTGAAATGTTACTGCCTATTGACAATGAACCTTATCATACAAGAGCTCTGGAGGAGATTTACAAGTAGATTAATGTGATTTCCATGCCTGCTAACACAACATCCATTCTGCAGCCCAGAAATCAAGGAATAGTTCTCATTTTCTAGTCTTATTCTTTAAGAAATACATTCCATAAGGCTATAGCTACCAAGAGTAGTAATTGTTCTGATGGATCTAAATTGAAGGCCTACTGGAAAGGATTCACTATTCTAAGTGTCATTAAGAAGACGGTAGAGTCAAAATATCAACAATAACAGGAGTTTGGAAGAAGTTGATTTCAGCCCTCATGGATGATTTTGAGGAGTTGAAGACTTTAGTGGAGTAAGTAACTGCAGATATGGTTGAAAATAGCAAGATAACTAGAATTAGAAGTGGAGCTTGAAGATATGACTAAATTGCTACAATTTCATAATAAGACTTGAATGAATAAGAAGTTGCTTCTGATTGAAGGGAAAATAATGTGGTTTCTTGAGATGGAAACTGCTCCTGGCAAAGAGGCTCTGAAAAGTGTTGAAATGACAACAAAATATCGGGGGAACCAGCCCCCAATATTTCAACATAGGTTCTTTCTATTTTCTATAAGTGTTGGCCAGCTGAGAAATAAAGAGAAAGAGTACAAAGAGAGGAATTTTACAGCTGGGCTGCCTGGGGTGACATCACATATCAGTAAGACCATGATGCCTGCCTGAGCCTTAAAGCTGCAAGTTTTATTAAGGATTTCAAAAGGGGAGGGGGTGCAAGGACATGGAGTAGGTCACAAAGATCACATGCTTCAAAGGGCAAAAAGGAGAACAAAGATCACATGCTTCTGAGGAAACAGGACAAGGGCAAAATCAGAAACTCCTATTAAGGGTCCAACAAAAATCGCAAGGCAAAGGGCAAAAGCAAAGATCACAAGCAAAGGGCAAAAGCAGAATTATTGATAAGGGTCTATGTTCAGCGATGCATGTATTGATTGATAACATCTTAAACAACAGAAAACAGGGTTGGAGAGCAGAGAACTGGTCTTACCTCAAATTTACCAGGGCAGGTTTTTTCCCCACCCTAGTAAGCCTGAGGGTACTGCAGGAGACCAGGGTGTATCTCAGTCCTTATCTCAACTGAATAGGACAGACATTCCCAGAGAGGCCATTTATAGACCTCCCCCCAGTAATGAATTCCTTTCCCAGAGTATTAATATCAATATTCCTTGCTAGGAAAAGAATTTAGTGATATTTTCCCTACTCGCACATCCATTTGTAGGCTCTCTGCAAGAATAAAAATATGGCTCTTTTTACTCAACCCCACAGGCAGTCAGACCTTATAGTTGTCTTCCCTTGTTCCCTAAAATCGCTGTTATTCTTTTCTTTTTCAAGGTGCACTGATTTCATATTTTTCAAACACACATGCTTTACAATCAATTTGTACAGTTAACACAATTATCATAGTGGCCCTGAGATGACCTACATCCTCAGCTTAGGAAGATAACAGGATTAAGAGATTAAAGTAGGACAGGAGTAAGCAATTATGAAAGTATTATTTGGGAAGTGGTAAATGTCCATGAAATCTTCACAATTTATGTTCCTCTGCCATGGCTCCAGCTGGTCCCTCCATTCAGGGTCCCTGACTTCCTGCAACAACAAATGACTTACAATATTACATAAACTTAGTTGCTAAACCAGTAGCAGGGCTTGAGAGGATTGACTTCAGTTTTGATAGATGTTCTACCAACAGTAAAATGCTACCAAATATCGATGCATGCTACAGATAAATCTATCATGAAAGGTATACTCAATTGATGTGGCAAACTTCATTGTTGTATTATTTGAAGAAATTATCACAGCCACCCCAAGCTTCAGCCACCACCCCCAAGTCAGCAGTGACCAACATGAAAGCAAAATACTCCACCGGCAAAAGTATGACCTGCTGAAGTCTCACATAATTGTTAGCAATTTTTGCAGTAATGTATTTTTAGCTAAGGTATGTATTTTGGGTTTTTTTTAGACATAATACTAACTGAACACTTAACAGTCTAAGGATAGTGTGAACATAACTTTCATGTACTAGAAAACCAAATTATTTGTCTGACCTGCTTTATCATAATATTGCTTTATTGCAGTGGTATGGAGGGAAACCTGAAATATCTTCAAGTTATGGCTGTATATATTTAGCAACATTTCCAAAATAATAGCTTACATTACATTTTGAGAGTCCATAGATCTGTGTCTTTCAATATTCCATAATTCTCAGAATGAGTGTTAATGATTTCTAGCCATCTATGAACCATAGATCGTGAAAAAATTAAATAACACACCTACTATACCCTAATAAATATAATAATATTGATAATGACAGCTTATCAACATAAATTATGCTATTAATTGTAGTCTTCCACCAAGATCTCTATTTTTCATAAGTGTCAATATGCATGTAGTTTATATTTTGTTGTTTTTAATTTTTACCTTTTATTTCTAATAAACCTTAGCTAATGTTAATTCACAATTAGAGGTTACTAAAATGATACTAGTGTTTTTTTAGTGCTCTCTGTGATTTGGATATTTGCTTTAAATATGATTATAAAAATAATAGAAAATCATCTTTCTTTGAGTAAACCTTCAGATTTCATTATATAATAAGTTAAACATAGATGGCCTTCAAATGCTGGGCTTAGATATTTTTGCTTGGACAAAATGGTCATCATTTTGTTTTTTATTTGTTTGTAGAAGTAATTTATTCATAATCTTCTACATTGTTTGTATAAGCTTTTACCATACTGCCATTAATGTAATATATTGTCCTTAAGTGGAAAGAATAGAAAGTTTTTGGCATTTGAGTCATGACCCACTTTTTTCCCAACCTCTGTCAGCTCAATCTGATGGCAGTCTTTTCCTGAGATGTATGCAATAATACTAGAATTGCTCTACCTCCAGCTCCCAGTCTAAAACTACTAATACTAATTTCTCCCCAGGAGAAGTAGGCTGCAAGCAATTCTCATCTCCCTAACTCTATGGTGCCAAGTTTCTATTTCAGGTAGGCACATATAAGAGGTCTGGATTTTTTAGCTCCAACAAGAGGATAGACTCTACCCTAGACAGAGCAAGCTGAAAATAGACTCCAATCACTATCACCCCAAATTTCTAGTAAGTCAGAGTTTCCACGAAGGAAGATGCAAACTGATAGCAGAGGCTACTGTTCCCACCTGACACTGCTTATAAAGCCAGTGCATCATTCCATAACAAGTGGGTTACTGCCTTCATTCCCAGTTCTTGAGTAGTGGCTCAGATATTTTGTCCAGTAAGACATTCAGGCTGTAAGAACAGTTTTATGAATTAAAAGTTTTTGCCCCTTTCCCAAATTTTACATGTTTAACTCCTAAATCTCAATATGACTGTAGGCAGAAATAGGATCTGTGAGGAGGTAATAAAGGTTAAATGAGGTCATTAGGGTGAAAGTCTAAAGTGATAAGGCTGGTGACCTTATAAGAAGAGAAAATAACACCAGAACTATTTTTTCTCTCTCTTTTTCTGTCTCTCTCTGCCATGTAAAGACATAGCAAGAAGGCAGCCATGTGCAAGCCAGAAATAAATCTTTCACCAGAGCCTGAACTAGCTCGTACCTTGATCTTGGACTTCCCAGCCTCCAGAACTATGAAAATAAATTTCTGTTCTTTATACCCATTTTCTAGTATTATGTTTCGTTAGCCCAAGCAGACTGTTACAAGCAGAAGCTGCTGAAACTCTCCCGAAGAATTAACTTTATTTGTGGCAGAGTATGGAGAAGTTCAAACCTAAGGGAGTACTCTGAAACGATAGAAATTTTCTGGTAAGCAATTAAAAGAAGGCTAGTAGTTCCAGGAGAACAACAAGCTAAATTACAGACTGATTAGAAAGCTACCATAATCAGATAAAGAGACAGCTAAGAAGAGCCCTCTTGGGGTTGGAATAGGACTCAAAAACTGGGATCGAAGACCAGCTCCACAAAATGAATAGATGTAATTGAATCAGACTGAGGAACACGTTCAGCCACAGGACAGTGTTGAGTAAAAAACAACAATCAGTTGGCAAGTAGCAGAGCCTAAAAGTGTGGTGTAGGCAGATATCTTTACAGAGATATCAGGGGAAAAGACCATCAAAGACAACCCATTAAAACCACTGTCATCCCAAGGCAATTGTACTCATGGTAAGGGTTATACCTTGGGATGAGGAAAATCAGGAGCTTCAGACAATGAGAGTAATAGACTTCCCTGGAGTGGTCCAGCCAAGTCGCTAAATAAATAAACAAGAAAAGGACACTAAAAACAGCCCCAGAATTAAAGGAAGGGAGAAACTATAACATATTATCTTAAAATGTTTGCATTTTAACTGAAAGTATGAGACATGAAAAGAAACAGGAAAGTGTGACCCATATACAATAAAAAGCAGACAATAGAAGCTGTGTTTCAGGGATCCCAGAAGGTGGGATTGTCAAATAAAATTTCAAAGCTGCTATTATAAATATGTTCAAAAAACTAAAGAAAACATCAGTGAAAGAACTAAATATGATGATAATGGCTCATGAAATAGAAAATATCAAAAATGACTCAATTATTTAAAAACTAATTATAATTTTAGAGTTAAATAGTATAATACCTAAAATGAAAATTTTACTCTAAAAGCTCTGGAGATTTAACTAGTAAAAGAATCATCACACTTGAAGACAAGCCAACAGATTGTGCAGTCTGACTAACAGAGAGAAGAAAGAATAAAGAAAAATATAGAGAAAGATGTGAGACACTCTAGTGGACTAACATATGCACACAATGGGAATGAGTATTAGGGGATGAGGATAGAGAGAACGCAGTAAAAAATAATAATAATAATAATGGCTGAAGTTTCCCAAATTTGATTAAAAGCAACAATCCATATAGCCACGAAGGTCAATGAACTTCAGGCAGAATAAGTATAAAACAATATACAGAATTATAGTAAAATTGACAAAAGAAAGACTATATTGAAAGTAGCAGGATAAAAATTACTCAATAAATAGAAGGAAGCCCTCAAAAGACTTATAGCTGACTTCTCATCAGAAATAATGGAGAACAGAAGGCAATACAACAATCTATTAAAGTGCTAAAAAAAGAAAATGAATTTGTCAACCAAGAAGCTTATTGCAAAGCAGACTATCTTTCAAGAGTTAAGAGGAAGCAAAGACTTTACAGAGAAACAAAACTGAGAAATTTTGTTGCTAGTAGGCATACATTAGAGGAAATACTAAAGGCATTTCTACAGGCTAAAAGCAAGTGACCCCAGCAATAATTCAAATCCACATGAATTAAATATTAGTGCTGGTAGTGGTAATTATGTAATTACAAATAAAATATAATCTCATATTTTATTTCATCCTAACTGATTTAAAAGCTCTGAATAAAACAATATGTATATAATTTTATTGGTGGGTGCCTTAAACCATTTGTGCTGCTGTAATAAAATACCACACACATCACGTAATTTGTAAACAATAGAAATTTATTCCTCACAGTTCTGGAGACTGGGAAGTCCAAGATCAAGGTGCTGGCAGGTTTAGCGTCTGGAAAGAGTTGGTGTCTCTTCTTCTAAGATGGTGCGTTGTGGCTGGAACCTCTATAGGGGATGAATATTGTGTTGTTACATGGCAGAAGTAATGGAAGGACAAAAAGGGCCTGAGCTAGTTCCCTCAAGCTGTTTTATAAGGCACTAATTTATTCATGAGGTAGACCCTTTAGGACTTATCATTTCCCTAAATGCCCTATATTTCAATACCACTACTACAATGGAGACAAAATTTCAACTTGAATTTTAGAGGGGTCACATTCAAAGAATAGCATTGGGCTTATAAAACATAGAAAAAATAATATATTTAATAGGAAAAGCATAAAAGATATGGGTGGGAATAAAGCTAAAGCAAAGCAAGATAATGAAATCAGATGATAACTTGAACCCACAAGAAAAATGAAGACAACAAGAGATGGTAAATAAAAGTTCATATAACAAAATCTATAAACATATCCTTAAAGCCTTTCTTTGATCAATGTTTCTAAAAGACATAAAATGATTTAAAGTAATAATTGTAAAATTTTATTGTTGAATTTGTAACATATAGACATAATAGTCATAGCAATAGTAATACAAAAATTCAGAAGAGGGAATATATCTATATAAGAATAATATTTCTGTATCTCACTGGAATTAGCTTATTACAAATATGAAATAGATTTTGATCAGATTTATAAGATAAGCCCTAAAGTAGCTACTACATAATATTAATAACTCAAATATGTAATAAAGTTTAGTTTAAAAAATTAAGCGTTATGATAAAAATATTCAATTGATGCAAAAGAAAGCAGTAAAAGACAAATCAAGGAAAAACAAGCTATAAGGCTTATAGAAACAAAAAAATGTAAAATGGAAGACATAAATCCAACTGTAAATGTTTTTAACTGTAAATGTTTTAAACAATTCAATCAGAAGGCAGAGTTTATAAGACTGAATTTTAAAACACAAGCTTGAAACATATGCTTTCTACAATAATCACTTTTTAAAATTTAAAGATACAAATAGTTTTAAAGTTAAGAGATGGAAAAAACATATCATTCAAACAATAAGCATGAGAAAAATTGTATAGCTATGCAAATATCATACAAAATAGTTTCTTAAACAAAAACATGTTAACAGAGATGAGTAGAGACATTTTATAATAAGCAAGTGAATCAATCAAAACGATAGAATGCTTTATGTATAAATGCTTCCAACAAATAAGGCCCAAAATACATGATGTAAAATCTAACATAATTGAAAGGAGAAATTTATAATTTAGGAAAAATAATAATTGGATATTTTAATACCATACTTTGAATACTTGTACAAATAATTAGGCAGAAAATAAACAAACTGAAGGTATGAAGAAGACTAAACCAAGTACATTTAGCAGATATTTATAAAATGCATAAGTATTAAAATGTATACTTTTCTAAAAATATAAGCCATATCATTATTCCTTTAAGCAACTTTCTCCTTCATACCTATTTTGGAGGCTACTTGATATGAACCAACTTTTCAGTGAGGTAATTTTTTAAATATTTTGTTTCTTTTATTTCCAGAGAGTATCATTTTTACCATTTTATATTCTAATTCTCTAAATCAATCATCTACCATTGTAATAATCTATAAATTTAATTCAGTAAGCTTTATTTAGAATACTTTTACTGTAAATTTTTATAATTTTCTTTGGTTTGTTTGTATAGTTTTTCTAAGATACCCTATCTATTCTTTATTATGAACATAATTTCCTGTCTGTCCATGAACAAATTTATAATAGTGTCAAAGATACATTTTAATAATTCTGGGTTCTTTTATTTTCCCTAAGCCAGTACCCATTTTTTAATTTAATTTTTATATCAGACAGTTTATGGTGGTTTATCTTCCTTGTAGTGGGCAGTGGTTAAAATATTTACTCAATTATTTCTGTCTTCCACCCATTGTTCTCCATCACTAACCTGGGCATTTACTATATCTGTGTGAATTTCAGGGATTAGCCAGTGGTTAATTTATACAAAAACTTTCTCCAGAATTTCCTCCTATTATATAGGTGTCCTTAGAGCCCTAAACTCTGTCTTCCAACTTTTAAGAGTAGTAACACTGTGCATTTCTGACTGAATTCCAGCCTTCTATATTGTGAGGAGTGAATGAGAAATGTCCTCAGGTGAGAAGTGGCATAACTATGTTATCACCAATGGTAGTTTTCTTTTTTGTGAGTCTATCTTTATTCACTTTTTTACTCTCTAACTTAGACAAGTAGAATATAGATATATTCTACTTTCTACTAAATTTTGTCATCCTCCAGGGTCTTCAAGTATTTTTAAAATTTTGTTCAATGTAGGTATGTATATGTGTGTATATGATATGTGTGTATATGATATGTGCGTTGGAGCTTCAAGAACGTTGGTTTGATCAAGCCACTTGACCATTAGCAGAAATTTCTTGGACTCATGAATATAATTTTAGTGAACAGCACTGAATTATTTCCAGGCATTTTTTTTCAAACATTATTATATATAATGATCTGTGAAGTACTGATTCAAGCTCTACAAATTAGTTATTTCAATCGCCTATAAACTGAAATATTTTCCAGCAAGCAAATATGAAATAATTTACCTACCTCTGCATATTTTACATCATTAATATTATTGGGTGTCCAAATTGTCATTTGTACAGTTAATTTTTGTAAAAAATCAGTTATAATCTCTTCTCCCTTTAACACACACACACACACACACACACACACACACACACACAGTATATTTATGATTGCTTTGGCATCTAATTAAATAAATTTGTGATGTAACTTTTTCAAAAAAATCAGGTTTGAAGAATACAGATAACCTTGGACTCCTTTTTTGTTGTTAGAATGTTTGTTTCTTGCTGGATATTGTTTTATACTTTTATTATATCAAATAAGAAGTCACTGCACTTTAATGGAAGATTACTTTGGAACTTTGATTGCTTTCTTCTAATTTTGATGATTTTGACAATATGTTATATAGTGCAATGTTGACTGAAAGAATCAGAGAACCAATATATTGTAATTTTGAGATAATAATATTACATATTTTTAACCTTCAAAGTTGTGCTTTTATTTTTATTTTATAAAGCAGTTGCACTAATAAAATTATTTATTGGTTTACTTTATTTATTTCTAACTCAAGACTTATTTATTATTTGCATTGATAGCATTTAAAGACCAATATTTACTTTGCTGTTTTCATCAAAAAATTAAATTCAAAAAACCATTTATTAATAACTTATCTAGTTTCTATTAACAGAAGACATACCACAACACAGCAGTTGCACTGAAAAAAAAAAAAGGTTTAAGACATAAAAATAAGCCACACCATAATGGAACTAATAGTAATAAAAAGAAATATTAAAAAATAATGGATAAATTACATGACAATTTTCACTCTGTTTATTCAAGGCTAACTAAAGTAAGTTGGCAGTGGAGTCTTTTTAGGGAATGTGAACACCTTCAAGGTGTATTTTGAAGAGCATAAAAATATCCAAGGGGATTAAAATTTATATTAATTAAATTATTTCACATCATTAAATATGTGAAATATATACGTGCCAGATTAAATCATCTTTTCCTCTGACATCACCAAGCAGCTGATTGGCAGATCATTGTACTGTTTGAGTATCCCCCACTGATGAATACTGATAGTTATTAGCCACAAAAATACTAGTGTAAGAAAAATTATTCCATAAATATTATTCATCAGTGTATGTTTCTCAATATCATAGAGCTTTCAGAACTGCCTCATGTTCTACAAGTATGACTTTGACATTTTAGTAATAATACTTACTGTTCTTTTTCCTTTATACTCGTTTTACATTGGTTTGAAGCAAAAATTAGTAATAGAAATTGTTTTTCTGAAGTGCATATGTAGTATAAACTAAAAGTATAAGATAGAACTATAATAAAAACTACATTTGTCTTAAAACTATCTCTATATGTAACAAACTGCATCCTAACTTACAATGTAAACAAACTGTAACCTATCAAGTAGCTGAATCTCAGCCAATCATAGCAGACAAGCTTTAGCCAATCACAGGCTGCCAAAGGATTAGAACATGTGCATTTAAGGTAAAAGTCAAGCTGTAATCAACCAAACTGTTACTGTATGTCACTTCCTTTTTCTGTCCATAAATACTGTCTGTCCACATTGCTAGGTGGAACTGTCTGAACCTCTCCTTGTTCTGAGTCCTGCCTGATTCTTTGTTCAGATAAACTCTGCTAAATTTAATTTATCTAAGGCTTTTCTTTGAACAATTTGGCATTATAAGTGGAATCCAAAGTAGACCTCAGTGACCCACAGGAGATCCAGGTGGCCAAGTAAGTAAAGGTACCTCTGGGTCAATTGTGCCTGTAGCTCTCTTATAGCAACTGGGGTCGTGGGCAAACTCTGTCTCAGGTTGGAACTCCACAAGCTTGTGTTTTGAGCATTCTGAGTTAGAGTATTCTTAATCCAGACTAAATTTGGAAGTCACAACAGAAACAAGACTGGGTCTGTAGGGAGGCTTCAACTATTTGATTGGGTGAGAGAGAAACTGGACTTTGTTCAGTAGGTAGATAAGGTTGCCAAAAGAAAGAAAATCATGGGTTTATCTGTATCAAAGGATGTTGAAACTTTTTCACCGGCAACTCCAGCCAATTTCATTTTAAGAACATAGACTCAAAACCTGTGCTTGTATAGAGAAATGGGTAAACTCTACTAAAAGTAACTTGGAGTTACAGAGGCCACAATGAGGAAACGTCTTACCAAAGAAAAACAGGTGTATGTCATTATAGCTAAAACAGCTACATGAACAAGAAAATCTACTCATAGATATTTTTAAACCCAAACTGAGAGATCTCAACTAAAGAACATGTTCTCTGAGAAGTCTGCCTTTATTGTAATTAGCCAAGTCATTGGATAAAAAATTGTCCACTCTTACACCAGCAATCTGATGGAACCACTCCCTTTGGCCTGGACTGTTTCCCCACTTGAGAAAGCCTCCAAAGGTTTTACCCCTGGGACAGTAATCGACCAATCCATCAGAGAGAAAATATAATATTTCTGTGTTGGAGGTTTCAAATCAAGACCAAAAGTCTCTGTGTCTGAACCTGTTTAATTGGCACATGGACGATTTTTATAAAAATGTTTTTAAAATTTAGTCATCTCTGTTTTCTCTAGTTGATCCTGCATCTCCCATGGGAATCTTTCACCTGACTAAAACCTCACTTCTCAAACTCCTGCTGACTATGTTCTCTTCCCCTTGCTCATATTGTCATAATCTTTGCTATGCTCCAAAACTCATTCTTGGAAAGCAAATTGATTTGTCTGTCATTCAATCTTGAAAATAAACAAATAAGGCTGGGCGCAGTGGCTCATGCGTGTAATCCCAGAACTCTGGGAGGCCTAGGTGGGTGGATAACCTGAGGTCATGTATTTGAGACCAGCCTGACCAACATGGCAAAACCCCATCTCTACTAAAAATACAAAAATTAACTCAGTGTCGTGACACATGTTTGTAATCCCACCTCCTCAGAAGGCTGACACAGGAGAATCACTTGAACCTGTTAGGCAGAGATTGCAGTGAGCCGAGATCGTGCCACTGTACTCCAGCCTGGGCTACAGAGTGAGACTTCTGTCTCAAAAAGAAAGAAAGAAAAAGAAAGAAAATAAACAAATAAACAAACATGAACTTTACAGTGTATATGCTGAGTCTAGACACAAAATGCTTGTATTCTTGTACCTGGCACGTGGCTAAAATGAATGAAATCTATAACATCAGTTTCTGTCTACATGTTTATTATATCTATACATATGACATATATGTGTGATATTTTTCTATCTTCTTATGATATTGCCAAAATCAAATTGTAAAGGAGTTCCATTTAATTGGCTTAAAGAAAAACATATGCTTATATAAACTGTTCTCTCAGAAAAACAAAAACTAATCCAAATGCTCTTCAAGTTCATGTGACTTGGATCATTTACAGCAAATAAGGATAATGTTGGTTTGATTAAAACAGGCATATCTTCAGGGTTGTCAACATTAAATAGAATACAGACACAGGGTTGATCGAGCACAGTGGCTCATGCTTGTAATCTTGGCACTTTGAGAGGTGGAGACACGTGGATCACCTGAGGTCAGGAGTTTGAGACCAGCCTGACCAACATAGTGAAACCCTGTATCTACTAAAAATACAAAAAATTAGCTGAGTGTGGTGGTGCATGCTTGTAGTCCCAGTTACTTGGGAAGCTGAAGCGCGAGAATCTCTTGAACCTGGGAGGCAGAGGTTGCAGTGAGCCGAGATTGCATCACTGCACTCCAGCCTGGGTGACAGAGCGTGATTCTCTCTCAAAAAGCTAATACAGACACAGGACTTTTACTGCCTAGATGTACTGGTAAAATAAGTTATGTTGCTTCTGTATTACAAAATATGTCAGCAAAATAAAAAGAAAAGGGGGAGAGAAAATGGGTAGTCGCCTAATTGTCTCATCTTCATAAGCAATCCAAGCATAATTGTTAAAAACAAGTGAGTTAAATAGATGTAAATAAGATAAAATTATCATGTGAAAGATGTCCTCCCTATATTGGAAGATAGTAACATTCTTATTATCAAGAATGAAAAGTTGAGGCTGAGGGAAATCTTTACAAACAACAATTTAATTCTCAAGCCTAGCCAAAAGTACCTAAGGAGATAAAGGTAAAATTTTGTCGCCTCTGGAGTTTCTTATTACAGGGAGAATAAAAATACGTGGGACCATTAATAAACAGGCTCTGTTCCACACTGACAAATTATACCACAAGAAAAATCATGCTCCTAAAAATTATGAATTATATAACCCCTTAATTGTTGGTAGCCTCTAACCATGCAATATTTTGATAACGGAGGCTTGGATAAATACTACTAGAGAATTTCTACTGGTGAGTTCCAATGAAGAAGGCATCCCACATGGAACTGTCAGTTGTGCCTGTCTAGGATATATTATTATTTGTACAGAATTTAACAACCTACCATATGTGCAGGCAACTGTGTGTCTCAGTAAGTGAAAAATAAGCGACCAATGTGGATTAGAAATTCTAAAAGTACATCCGTCACTCAATAACCAACTGGAAATTAAACATTGGTCAACACCTCTTTATTTTTACTATGGAATAAAAAGGAAACTGTCAGAAGGAATAAATCCCTTTAAATGGGCATCTTTGGTGGAGAATCTTCTTCCCTGGCTTGGCGTACATGTAAATAAATTTATAATTAGAAATCTATTTCAAACATTATCTGCTATAGCTGACTCTACTGCAAAGACTATAGTTGCTTAGCAAACTTTAAAAAAATTATATTGCTAAAGTTGTTTTCAATATCAGGATTGCTTTGGACTATGAGCTGAACGGGGGGGGACTGTGATAGCTTAACATTTCCTGCTGCAATTGAATAAATACATCTTGTAAGGTTAAAAACTCAACTGCAAGAAATCAACAAACAAGCTGCTTCGTCTATACAAGTAGATTTCTCTTCCAGCTGATTTGTGATATGATTGATTTTGATTGGTTCAATTCCTGGGGGTCCCTGTTAAGAAGTACATTTTAGTCTGTTAGTATTAGGTTTCTGATAGCCAGTATAGTAGTTTCCCTGATTCGCCATATCCTCTCAAGTCTTAAATTATTGTATGCAGCCAGCCATTATACATCAAATGGTCTCATAAGCATTAATGAGAACACAACGAAAACTTAGAGATATTCAACTGACCTGACGTTGTAAATTTTAAATTCTATACTGAGAAATTGTAATACTGTAACATTTAAATTCTATACTCTCTACACTGTCTTTTTGACAGTGGCAGAGAGTAATGTCAATTTCCAAGGTTTTTGTCACTGTCTCAAAGTTGAGAAGCTGACTAAAAGGGGGAAATTGTTAAGTTAATTAGTTTGGTCTAAAGCTGTCTCTATACTTAGTAAACTAAAAGCCAACTTAGTGTGTAAACAAACTGTAACCTAACTTAAGAGTATATTCTTGTAATAAATAGCTGAGTCTCAGACAATCACAGCAGCTGAGCTTCAGCCAGTCACAGGCTACCAACTGATAAGACCATGTCTATATAAGGCAAATGTCAAGCTGTAACCAGTCAAGCTGTTTCTGTGTGTCACTTCTTTATTCTGTCCATAAATACTGCCTGCCCACATTGCTGGGTGGAGCTGTCTGAACATCTCTTTGTTCTGTGTCCTAAACTCTGCTAAATTTAATTTGGCTGAAGTTTTTATTCTAAGAGAAGCTAATACCACTGAGCAATTTAATTTTATGAATCAGACAATAAACTGCAATTACAGAAGTTTGTTTTTATTTTGTTTGATCTATGACAAGTACATCAGATATCTATGAAGCATTATAACCACTAAATAATGAGAGGTAGAAGATAGTTTGGTTTTTATATTTATTATGGGAGTAAAATGTTTGCATGGATATATAAGATGACATTTATAGAAAACTGTTATTGACTCAGTACTTAGAGTTTTCATTAGAAATTAACAAAAGTAAGCATACCTCATGAGTTTTTAAATAACAACAGAATGAAATACATTCTGTCATTCGGGGAAAAATTTAAATTGAAAATAAATTTGATAGTTTTGGGACATATTCAGGGTTTTTTAAATAAAAAATTTACAGCAAAAGATACAATAAAGAAGAAAAAGAAACATCTGGCAGCTTAGTGTCTGGAAGCAGTGCACTGAGTATGACTTATCAACGTTAATTGAGTTTTAGTTAGCAAAAAAAGAAAGACATAAATATATAGAAAACATTAGACTATCATATAATTTTATTTAGTAATTATAGCTGTACTAAATATCTCTATTCAGTTACAGTTTCTACAACTTAGGATAAAACAGGATCATTTGGAAAAGTACAAAGAAGAGTAATAAAAATGATTAAATGATCACTCTTAAATGCTATGTATATATGTATGTTATATATAACATATGTGTGTGTGTGTATATATATATATATATATATATATACACACACAAAAATTTGTACATTTTTGAAGAAGCTGTATAGGTTTGAGTCAACCACACATGATTTTTGACAAATCATATATATATAAATTAAGGGATTTTATATTATTCAACCAGAAAATGAGTGGTCTTTGATAATGGTGGACTACTCTTATATCCTATGCAGATAAGTTGAACCTCGAATGCAAACTTGAGCTTGTGTATCTGTTAATAATTAGTATTAATTTTATTACTGATTTTGCTTTAATTGAAAAGAGTAGCAGCAGTAGAAGCAGTAACAACAAACAATAAAAACTTCTTCAAAACCAGACTGTTTTCTTGTTGAGGTGTTTCTTACCACTTACATTTGCACATTGACTTCCAGCCTCACTAAACGTGCTTGTACTCTCACTTGTCTCACAAAGTCACTGGCAAAACACAGAATTCTTGTCATGCCTTGTTACTCAGCACTTCTTCTTCCATTGCCATCAGTCTTTAAGGGTTCTCCTCTTTCAGGCTCGTATTCCAGACCTCGGGCAAATATATGTCCACTGTTGATCGCAATAACACAGCATCTCTTGGTGGCAAGCTCTGATGATCCAGAGCAACTCAGAGACGAAAACAGCATTATCTTATCCAAATAAGCACATTCCTTCTTTGCCTTGAGGCTCTCGGTCTAATGGCAAGCCTTTGGAAACTAGTCTTTCTCATTTGAACCACAGAACAGAGAAAAATATGTGTGACTATTATCTCAATTCTCCAAAGAATGGTACTAGTATTATGCTAGGTGCCTGGGAAATTTTATTATACGTAATGGATAGACACTTTAATACATTAAGCCTTCATTCTTACTGAATCACTGGCAGAAAAACTCTAAACCTCTATGTCATGCTTGTAACTTTTCTCAGGTGATCTTCCATACTTATCTGGATATTGACCCTGAGGATCGGGCGTCCGGGAGAAGATTCTGATTAACCCCTTGTTGTTTATTTGCTTCCTACTCTCTATCAGTGGGAAGAGACAAGATTATCTTTTTTGGTCTCCTTTATAATTTGGGGGAAGACTTTCCCTATATCGTATTGCCGTTCCTCTGCCCTGAGGGGTAAGTTTGGGACAGACAGCAAACTCTATGGATTCCTCATAACTAGTGGGAGTGTCTGACTTTGTACATTTTTGAAGAAGCTGTATAGGTTTGAGTCAACCGCACATGATTTTTGACAAAAGACTTTTAGGATAATTAAAAATTACAGAAAATAAGGATATATTGGCTTAATATTGACTTGATAGTCCTCAAACACTCACCTTATAAAGCAACTATATGACTTTAAGTAGCTTTATCTAAAATTTTTGAAGCTCTCTATAACAATTTACATTAATGAGTGTGGTGGGACCCCAATAAACTACCATGCTGATTTTCACACATATTATAATTTTAAAATATGTCAAAAATCCAGAGGATAAGTTTTCATATATTCTGTTACAAATTGTGAGGTCCTGACAAGTTGCCAATTTTCTTTGAGTTTTGTTTTCCTCATCAAAAAAATAGAAAGAATGACCTGCTTTGTTTCAAAGTATTAAATTCATAAAGTATAAGTTTTTTAAAAAAGATATATAAAGCTACAAATCACTTTTTAAAAAATCTCATTTTCTTTAAACTTTTGACTAAGGTGGGAAGTCTCCTCTTAAGCATGCTTGAACATTCAGTATCATTTTATTTGGAGAAACCACCGGTAATTAGTTCAGATTTGGAATTCATTGTCACAGCTTGTACTTTCTAAGCTCTCACCCATACGAACTGCACTCATTTCCTTTGCACAGCTTGACCTTTTCTAATTAATGCACAGGATTGCCTAACTGCAACGTGCATTGATGTGCTGTGCCTATCAGGAGCTGAAAAAGTTTCAGCTCTATAAATTTCCCAAATCTTTGCATTGGAAAAACAGATCTTTAAAATTTTAGTTTGTTGGATAGTACTCAAATTAATCTTGGCTTATTATTTCCTATTTTTCAGAAGTGAATATTGTCTACTCTCTTTATTAATATTCTTATTCTCCTTAAATCCATGTAAGGAAAATAGCTTCATTCTTTATGATTATCCTTTTGAAATTGTGGATGCTCTTATTGTTGCTAACAGAGGAGAGTGATGCGTTTAAAACAAAGTAAGGTGACATAAATAAAAATTATTAGGATCATCTAACAGAAAGGAATAATTTAAATCAATATATTTAAGTAATATATCTTATGTGTTTTCTTTCTCAATTTCTTTTTATTAAAACTTCCTAGGTGTAGAACTGGTCTTTTAGTTCTTCACAGCCAAGCAAAGGATAAGATTTAATTAAAAAATGATTGACAATTGACGATAAAACAGATCCTAAATCACAACTACTACGTAAGTCCAGGCATCTTTAGGGTCACTTAATGAGCTTCTTTTCTGGCTTTCTTCTTGCCTCCCCTCATGTGGTGGAGGCTAAGCTGTGTATTTCTTACAAGGCCTTCTGCCATCTCTTCAGAGTTCAGGTAAAATATATTCAAGAATGCCAAGTGATCATAAAACATAGGCACAGCTCAGAAAATTTGTAAGTATCCTTTTTTTTCCTCTACCGTCTTATTACCAACCAAAATTACAATGGACGACCCAAGAAATTGCACCAGCTTTAACCTATGACTTCTATTATTCCCTGGCACATCCACGTATACATTTACAGTTTAAGAAACAATTCAGTAAATGAATCTCTTTTGATGGAAAAAATATATACAGGGTCATACTAAATTGCTGAGAGCTGACACTTATCTTGCCCTTTCCTTAGAAAAATATCCATGACTAGGAGAAAGATGCCCTGAGAGACAGGGAGGTAATTGCTGGCTATTTTGGATGAGCTCAGCAAATTTCAAAATGGGAGTATCAGTACCGTACATCTTGTAAGAAGAGGAAACTGAAATTTATGCCCAATGTCTGGTCTCCTTTTGAAATGAAAAAAATGATAACAGAGTTTCAGATAAAGGGAGTATGACAGAATCAACTTTTTTTTGCATTTAAATTTTCAAACATTTAATGGTGTGACGTAATATTCATGTTATATTACTAAGTAAAATAAAAGAAGGTAATGAAATAGTATACAGAAAAATATTATTTTTATAGAAAATATTACATAGTCACCCATATACATGGATTTTACATCTTGTTATCAAAATCTATGCATATGAAATTACTTTTAATGCTCAAATAAACTGTATTTAATTTAAATTTAATTACTATATTTTAATTTAAATGAAGTGGTATTTCCACCAGCATGATTTTTGTTTCTTGGCACTGCCACCACTTCTTGCTTTTGGATGGTCCCTTGGGATGACTCATTCCAGCTTGCCATCCACCATTAACCCTGTGGTCTCTGCCATGATGCTTTTGCTAGTCACCTTCTGTGACTGATGCCTACCCCTCAGAGGCTGCCTGAAGGACCCTCTGAAAAGACACTGCTAATAGTGTCCCTCATTGAACCCCAACTCCATGACAAGTGTGCTCTGTCTGAACTCTCTTAAATCTGCCATGCTCAGGAGAGAGGGCAGTGCTGGATTGCACACAGTGCTTACTGGATCAGACCTTTCCACACCACCCTGCCACAAATTGTCACTTAGGTTTCTAAGCAACACTCATCATTTCCATTGCCTACCAAATTCATAAAGGCAAAACTTTCAGCTTTTCCTTTTCAATCTCGACTATAGTGTCAACAAAGCAAAAACAAACAAAAAATTAAAAAAACTAAAACATATAAAAAAATTCATTGTCTAGCTAAACATGGAACTGTTTAGGTACAGAGCTGTGCACATTTATATTCTGTTTAGACATTTGGTTATTTTTGTCTCCTAATAGCCACCCAAGAAAAAAGAATTTTTGAAATTAAAATAAGATATTATTCTAAGTCTTAGAATGTAATCTAACAAATATCAACATCGATTTTCTTAAACTATAATACAAATGTCTAATTCAGATTAAGATAACTTCAGTTTCTTCTCTAAAACTGTGAATATATAATTACTTCAAATTTATGTAATAGAATGATCATTTCAGTTGAATATTGTTTCTAATGTAAAGAAAGGATATTTTCAATTCAGAGAAAAGAATACATAAAAAAATGTCTGGAAGAAAATACAACAGATTGAAAGTTAAACGAGCTATCTCTCAATTATAGAAGTATAATTTCTATTTCTTTTTAAATGTTCTACAAATAACATACATTAAAATAAAAGAATGTTATTGGAATATGATTTCATATTTATATGTTATAGAATTGTGAAAATGGGAGGGGGAATGTTTGCAAATGTTTATACTTAGCCTGTCTCTTACTGCAATTTAGCATTCAAAGCAGTGGGATACGTGCTGTGGAGAAGGGTGAATATTCTGAAGCTTGAGTTTAATTTCAGCTCTAATTCTTACCGCACAACTGCTAGCATTAGCATTATTTGGGCTTCTGATATCTCATCTGAAAATAGTTACAGTCAAATAGTTCAAAGGTTTTTGGCATAGTTAGCTGATTTACTATGTGTAAAATTTTAATTAGTTAATGTTGGAGATTATGAAGAAGATCCAGTACACTGGTTGTGTGCATAGGCCAGTGCATGAACTTAATGGTGAGCTTAAGTCATCTGTTGAGTGCCTTTTGATGATTAACTTTGTGTACTTAGTTCTCTTCCATGATTCTGAATATACCCTCTTATATTTCAGAATCTAGATGTGGTATTTTTTCTCTATCTTTAGAGAAGAAGAAATTTCGATGTATAACATGTTTAGACAATTTTTGAAGTTCCTGTATAATTAAATTGTCCTATTTATACATTTTCTGCCAATGCATAAATAGCTGCCACAACTGGTGTCATTTCTCACTCTTAAGTTACAATCCAGCACTCATGCTGCCTCGTACAAACCATGTATGACAGGAGAGCCATGCCACCACAGCCTCTGGAGATGCATCCTTCCTCCCTTGTTCAGCAATTAGGACAGGTTTTTCTGTGTTAATGTCAAAATCAACTTATTTTTTTTTTAACTTTTACTTTCCCTGCACATTGTTTTTTTCTTTGCATTAGGCTGCATTACCTGATACTGCTTCAGATTCTTAGTCCCGATCAGGCAGCGGTCTCTCTTGGGTTTCCCTCCTGTTGTGATCTGCAGCCAGCTGATCACAACAGCCGGCTGTTCTTGATGGGAAATTGAACACCCCAAGGAGCCTCTGCTGGTCTGGTAGAGTAGCTAGAGCTTTTCCTAGTGTTTCTCCCATTGGGTTCTCTCTTCTTTAATTAAATATGATTGGTAATACACATAGGGCCCTCACTGCTCCACCATTCTGTTGGGAAACTACCCTGCAATCAAGAATCAAGCCAGGTGAAATAAGAGTGATCTTTTTTGTTTGTTTGTTTAATAGCTTCTCTAGAGACATGATTAGTAAAAGCTGTGATCATGTGTAGTAGTAAGAATACTGGGAAGTAAGGAAGTAGAAAAAAATGCTAGCTTTTCTCTAAAAATCTTCAACTACATCTACAGTAGTCAAATACACTATGTAACTTCTGGTTTAGGATCATTTCAGTGTGCCTTATGAATCTCTCCAAAAAAGTACAAATTTCTCAAGGAGGACTATATTTAAATCAGTCTGTTTCTAGGACCTTAAAAGTGTAGCTATGAAAGTCTGTTTCATACCATACTTTCTTCACTTATCTTGGTTGCTTCTTTTCAGATATTTGCAAAATATTTGAGGAGGAATAGCAGTGAGAGCTCAACAAGTAATGCCTCTATAACAGCTTTAGATATGAAAGGAGTTAATATTTTCACTAGTGCTTTTGTTTCTAACATATCAGAAGTTTCATTCCCTTTAACCTTTGCAATCACCCTCAGTCTTTCATTTGAGAGTAAAAAGAATATAATCTTCTTGTGACTCAAGCCAGAGTGAGCACTGTTACTCTGATGACTTGAATGTGTATATAATTTTATATAATTATTTCCCATATAAAAGTTGATTTATTTTTTTTCAGCCTTTCAATATCTGTGAATTATGGCATCTTTGAAAAATGTTGCTGCTTGCTAATTACTTTGTAACATGTCATCCAGGTTCCTACAGGGTACTTGGGCAAATACAGCTTTGTTATGTTTTGCATTCCTCCTCTGACCCTCCATTCCTACTAGGTCACTTCTTTTTAGCTTATTATAGATAGTCTGTGCATGTAGGGCTGGGTGTGTGGGTTGAGATCGTTCTGACTTTTTATATATACAAATGAAAGTGGGAACAATAGTAGCAGGTAGGTTCATGATGACGAAACTAATCCTGCAGTATTTGGGTTCAGTTTTTATTTTTTATTATATTTCGTTTTTATAGTTTATTTTGCAGGTAACCAAAAGTCAGTATTTCAAAGAGTTAGGGAAAATAGAGTGCATTGATTGTCATCACTATAGGAATTCTTCAATACAAAGAATGCTGCAAATGTACTGGACATGGTGTGTTGCAAAAACTAGAAATTCATTGAGGAAATGATGGGATGTTGCCGAGAAAGATAAATATGCCTCCAGGAGGCAAAACCATCCCGTGGGTCGGGGTTCCCAGGGAGAGATGCGGCAGAAGCCAAGTAGAGCCGGGCAAGGCCAGTGGTTTCATAGACTCCTGGGCCAAAGCCACAGAATGTCAATGTGTCACAGCTCTGTTGCATTAAATGGAGCTCTTCTTTCAGGAAACCAGATAATTATCCATGTTGGCCTCATAGGGTCTCATAAGTCATAAAATTAATATTTAACCTAGAAAAAACTTGAATGTCCATCAACAGTATTATATTTGAATGAATTACCATGTATGGATACTATGCAGCCATAGATCACAATTTTGTCCACATTTTTAGTATACATAATTAGGCATCCATAGTTATGAATTTTATCCATACCTATATACACAAGTAAACGTCTAGGACATTTTTTTCCAATGGCAAAAAGGGACAAGTTCAAAAGATACTACTTTACACATATAATATGATCATGGTTTTATAAAAAACTTAGAAAATGTCTGTGAAAAGTGAAGGAGAGAGAAAAAGAGGCATGAGAAATAAATTTCAGTCTCCAAAAATTAATTTTTTGGTGGGAAAGTAAAGAATGTAAGCAAATTATTTCTGAAGATATGTAATAAACCTTTAATTCCCAATTAGTAATATTTACTTTTTAAAATTTCAATAAAGATTATGTGAAAATAGGAAAATCAAGTACATATTTTATTATTTAATCATATTTATAATCTTTGCAACATAAAATCTTACAATTTATTTTAGTAAGTCGATCAAACTTTACTCTTTTCTTGGATTTCATGTTTCAATGGCTTCAATTTATTTTATGTATCAGTGATTTACAACAGAGTTTGTTTGGGCATAAATTGAGGAATATGCCCAATATCTGACTGAAAGCAATTGCGTCAAATTCATACACTCAGCATGCAAGTAACACCACTATAAACATTGTTTATCATAATCACACTGACTTTCAAACTTAAACCATAAATCTCCTACTGACTATTTTTTCAAATATAGGACATATATTTAAACGTTCTGAAAGTGCTTTAAATAACCATTCAAATAAAAAGTGCATAATCTTACAAGATGTGATAGTTTCAGGAGTATCAGAAATAATATTATATGTAATTTACACCTTTGGTAAAGTGTCATTCATGTTAAGAAACTACGTAGGGTATGGGATGTATGTGTGTGTGTGTGTGTGCGCGCGTGCGAGAGAGAGAGCGATTACCTTAACAAAGTTTAAGAATGAAGAAAGTTTAAATGATTTTTCTGGCTAAGGGTACATTCTTAGTGCTTATGACTTCTCAATGAAAGGATTATTAATGAATCCGAAATGGTTACAAAATTGAATCTAAAATGATCTCTTATATTCTCTTCATGAAGTTGTAATTTATATTTCATTATGCATTAAAATTAATAATAGTACATTTTAGACATTTGTTACACTTGAGTTAATATAATTATGTAGTCTTTATAACAAATGCTACCCACCACTCTTCTCCAACTCCTATCACTCGATAAAAAAATTAACTGATGATTTGAAAAAAATGATACACGCAGACGCACATACACACACACACACACAGAGGGTGAAGTTTAATTTTTAAGTTACAAACTCATGCGTGGTGTTCATTCTTTGTGTTGAAAATATAATCAATTTTGCTAGTTCTGATTCAGATGAATTAGTTCTTCATAAGCTTTGATGGGGATATCGCTTAGTAGATTAATGTAACTTCAGCCCATTACACATAATGGTGGTCAAATTAATTCACTAAAACTTTGACCACATTCTAGATAGTAAAGCAAGAAAAAATTAATCAGCTTGGGGCTGTGCATCATATTACATGTAGAAGTAATCATATAAGTGTAAATTATGCACATTATTTCTATGCCATTTCAAAATAGTAGAAAATATAATGTGCAGTTTCACCAGTGTAAATTATGTAATTATTGGAGTGTTTCATTATATACCAATTCTATTATAAAATAATCAAATGGTTATAACAAATTGCGCAATCATGTTCCTTATCACTGAGGGAAATGTACTTTGATACATTCATTAATGAGAGCACTATAATTTCAACTACAAGAAAGAAAAGTGTTACAAAGGTATTTGGTAAATTAGGTTAGCAACATGAGTACAGTTAATTTGATAAATTTTAGTCTGTTAAATGTGTTAGTTGAGAAGATGAGATGAATCCAAAGATGCAATCATAAATTTGTTAAATTATGTTTAGAACATATATTTATTTATGACTTTGATTCAAGACCATTGTATTCACAGTTTCCACTATTTCTGATTCACCAACTTTGGATGTATCCCACTGAATATGACAGAACAGTGGAAAGCATTGCAGAATAAAGCAAAAGGCCCTCTAATTTCAGACAGATGCTCCCCTCAGTCTGTTTAAAACTTTGAGCAATTCACGTAATCAAATATCTTTCTTAAAGTATAAGTGGAAATAGAAGAATAAACATCAAAATTTGAATAAATTAAATGGCAGACAACCTATGAAAAATATAATTTTTCTAGAGCTCTTGACAAATATCTATCAGAGGGTAAGAATGCTTTAATGTTGTTAAAATTAAAAAGAATACCAAGCTTTGGTTTCCACATTGTCTATCGTTTACTCAGTATCAAGCTGTATTTTAAACATGTGTTATATTTATGTAACACTTGTGTTTCATTACAATCTTCTCAGTCATCTATTCACCCATCCATGTATTAACTAATGCATTCGTGCTGTATCCTAAAATATTAATATTTGTGCTATTCCTGAACATCTTTATAAATGATGTTCTACTCACCTTGCTCTAGATGGATTATGGTTGACTTGCTGAGAATGTGGAGATTAAAGCCATAAATATTGATATTTTGACTACCTACATAAGTTCATGAAAATAAACCATAAAATACCAAGAGAATCAAGAAATAATATATTCTTTTGAAATGAAAATAAAGGTATACCTTTAGCTATCCCTGCTGTTCCACTGGAGACTAGATGAGGGATTTGTAGATTGGGAGACATGAAGAGAAATAAATGGGTCATGGCTTTAGATGAGGTCACCGCAGGAGCTGACAACAATGGAGTTTCTCAGGTGATCAAAGGAATAAAGAATAGAGACAAGGATAGGCTGCTGAACAAGATTCATCAATCGTCAGAGCCCAGTGGGGCTGAAGCTGCATCTGCACATCACCAACTAGCATTGAGGGTGCACCTCTTGTTTCCCATTGTTATCTACTGGAGCTATTCTTCCCTTTGGAGTAGGAATGACCTTCTCCCAAGAGCTGGCACCAAGTCATGTTTCTTGCATGTTATGGATCATGCAAGAAAACTACCCCTATGTCCTGAGACTTGGCTAAGACCATCCTGTTTGTACATCTGCCTCACCCTACTTTTTTTTAATCACCCAGGACATATGAAATGTCATTACAGAAGTGTTTTTAACTAAGAAAGACTCTGATGAAGAGCAAAGGAAAACATCACAACATCTCCTTATTAATGAAACACTTTCTTATTGCTCATTCAATAAATATATTTTGATCAACTTTATATCTAAACCTGGAAGGAACAAGCAACACTATGAGAATAAAGCCTTTGATCCTAGAGTTGCGAAGAACTGACTAATGCCAATAACCTGAGTGAGATTGAAAGTAAGTCCATCCCCAGTAGATAAACCAATGCTTGAATCCTGTTCACAAAAACTATGAAAATAAATATGTGTTGATTTAAAGTACTAACTTTATGGCAATAGGTATATATTGTAATAAATAATACATTTTCTCAACTTTTTCATGTTGAGGTTTTCATTAATAGTGGCATTTAACTGACAGCTATTCATGAAATGTCCCCCATTGCCATTTTAAAATGCTTATTACTGAAATGCATGCCTCATACTCATATACAGAAATATGTCACAACACTGCAAACAAAAACAAAAACATCCAATAAGCTTTCAGGATAATATCTTTTCGAAAATTAAATCATAATAACATCTGGTTTGAAGCAATACTTATTTATGGCTTACGACTCTATGACAATTTTATGTAGTTTCCAGACACAGGACGCAACCCTCCCCCACCCAACATTTATTTTTCAGTTGAGACTGATAATAGAGCATACAAGAGAATACTATAAGGCATATTACTCATATAATGAGGATTTGGGGGAGAGCAGGGCAGGAAAATCTTTGAAACTGGTCTAAAAATGGCTCAAGAGTGCATGAAAAGGAGCCTGCTTGGAGTTTTTATGGTAGGCACAGAGTGGGGCCAGGGCCAGCTCTCCATCTGTGTGCAGGGGATTATATGGTTTGATTTCCTGGCAGTTCCACAGGAGGGAACACACAGATAATCTCATCAGCTTTCCCAGATTAGAGGCAGAAGTGGGAGAGGGAGGTTTGAGACTTAAAGTAGTGAGCGAATATCCAAAATTGGAGTTAGCTTTGTTGCAATAAGTTGTGTGTTGTTTGGTTTCTGCTTTGCTCTCGTTTGTGTCTGGAGTTACCTGTTGGCAGCTCTGCTGAATGCTGGTGGAGAATCCACACGCCTGGAAAACTGAGTTCCTCCAGTAGTTTTACAATGGTAGTGTAAGGAATCCAAAGGGAGAGGTGAAACACTCAGATATTGGAAAACTGTGGTTTGGAACTGGAACTCTACAACTTCGCATTTTATTAACTGAATTAAATTATAAGGTCTGGTTAGATTTAAAGGGTGGAGCAGAGTCATTTTCTTCATTTAAAAAACCATTGCAAAATCAAATGGCAAGGGGCACAATTACAGGGAGTGGGATAATTGGAGCCATTCTTATAAACAATTTACTACAGAGCAGATCAAAAAGAAACATTTGTGTTGCACTTTATTGTATATAAATTTCAGCACGTGGAATTCAGCAGAAACAAAGGGAAAAGCATCAGTTTACACGGGACATTCTGCCTCTGATTTACAGTATCAGGATTGTACTAACCAGAAATTTGAGTAGCCATCTTTTTACAACGGAAGTTAATTTTCAATCACTCTGATTTCTTCCTTGAGGAATATTGAATAACAGTACCTGACAAACTGTGGCTGAGTCCTTTTAAATTAAACTACTCAGAAATAGCAATATCCAAGGAAAAGAATGCTGAGCAGGGCTAGGGAACAGTGAGATTTATAGAACCCTTAATTAAACTAAGAGTTAGCAACACAAAAAGTAAGATTCCCTGGAGCAGTATATCAATGGATTGCATTTTCTCATGTATTTGATCAATTCAAATAATTAGAAAATGAGGCAATCGTTTTAGGGATTTCCCTCCTTTGTAGTGCATGCCTGAATTCAAAGAATGTATGCTAAAAGTAAAAGTTTTATTGGCCAAATCTTAACCTACGTGAAGTTTATGATTTAATAAGGACTCTCACTGTAATACCATAAATTAAATCTAAGCCAAGTTCAAGCTTCACAGGCTGTCCATTGGGAAATACAACGTGATGACCTCACTTTATCAGGAAATTACTGACATGATACATATGATCAAGGAACTTCTGAAAAGACATTTAAGCGTAAGTTAATAGATTATTTTAGAAAAAAAGGAAAAGATAATTTGACTTAAAAGACAATCTGGAGTATTATAATAATTAAATTAATCTATTAAACAGGAGCCTATTTAATGGCAAATTAATAGCAGCAGTCTACTGAAAATTGAAAATAAGAAAAGAGTGCCCATGACAATTATCTAATGATGTCCTGGAAAAACTAGAAGAACAATGAATAAGATTAATAAATATTGGCTAGTTGTTCTAATTAACCGATTATTTGGTTGTCTACCTGGAAAGAATACAAGTAGCTAAAATATCATTATAACATATATAATATTATAAAATTTTGGTGCATTACTTTTTATTACATATAATTACAAAAGTCAATAGCTTTCATTTACATTATCAATAAGATCAAATTTACATGTGTTTATAAAAAGGTATAAACTGAAATAGAATGAATATCTCACTCATTAGAATAACCTAAATAGGAGGGTTTTTCTAGAAGTTATTTCCATCATGGATATACAGTACTGATCAAAGTATAATAGAACAACGTGATTGAACACGTGCCTAAATGATACTATAAATATTTCTGAATCAAATGTCTGTATAGATCTATTATATTACCATAACTCTAATATATTTATCAATTATGTAATGTTATTCAAAACTCAATAGAGGCATAAAAAGATAGTAGAAACCAAACATGTTTGAAAAATGCAGAATATTTGTGCTACCATGTATTTAAATATATTATTGCCTTACAAAAATTAAAACAATGTTTTACTGAAAAAAAATATGTCTATTAGAACAATTAAAATAATAGAAATTATAGTAACAAAGTATTATGTTTAATATGAAGTAAGATAAGAGAATGTATTCATTTGTACACACATACATAGACCTAGACAGACACACACCTAGACTGTGACAGTGTTTTAAAATGGATGTTATTCTTCTATTTTATATAATAAGTACATAATGTAACATGATGTTAAAAGAGTCCATGAAACATTACAATTTATTATTTGTGCATACTGAGCCTTCAGATGATTTTAACATTATTATTTATTCTCTGTTATTCATTTTTTCTATAATGAATACAAAATTTTACACTTTCATTTCAAAAAATAAAATTTTAAAATAAGACTTATTGAGAAAAGTAATCATATGTGAAATATTAAAGTACAGTTTAATTATCTGAAAAATACAAAACCAAGAGATTAGATGATTTCGCACCTGCATAAGAAAATATTATGCTTGCAGACTTCCTTGGTTTGAGACTGTTTGAAATATATATCTTTTCCTTTATTTATATTCATATCACAGACATATATATCATAGAAAGGAAAAAGAGGGCTACAAAGTGAACAATTTCCTAGGAAATAAAATAAATTTGAATGTTCAAAGAATGGAAATCATTTTATAAACTACTGGCTCTCAAAGTGTGAGGCAGAATCCTTTGAGACAGACTCAAAGTCAAATCTATTTTCACAATAATACTAAATATTATTTTTTGTTTTAACTTTTATTGTCTCAAAATTGTAGCTAGAGTTTTCTAAAAAGCTACATGACATGACAGTTTAATTGCTCATATGATGTGTGGAGTTGGTGAAGTATTGGAAATTGTGTATTCTTATGTGTATTTCTGTTTCCTAGAATATTCTGAGATAGCAGCTTGATAGAGGGAGAGATAATAGAGAGATATAATTTTTTAATGATTAACTCAATTTTCTTTCAGAGTTCTTACTGTGCTCTTGCTAGCTATTTTTAATTATAACAATTATCTCTGTAACCTCGTTATCATCAAATAAATATTTAAAAATCCCAGTGTTTCATATGCCTGTGAAAAATACAACAATAAATACAGTTTTCTCATTTTGCAATGTATTTAAATGTTTTTTAATACTTTTATTTAAGGGTATTATTTCAGAATTTTATGTATATTTTCACATAATTAAAAATAGATATTTTGTGTAAAAAAAGAGATTAGGCCAGGCACAGTGGATCATGTCTGTAAATCCTAGTGCTTTGGGTGACTGAGGCAGTAGGATCACTTGAGGCCAGGAGTTGGGCACCAGCCTAGCAACAGAAAGACCCCAGTTCTACAAAAAGTAAAGACATTAATGGGTATTGCTGTGTGTGCCTTTAACCCTGGCTACTGAGGAGGCTGAGGTGGGAGGATTTCTTGAACTCAGGAATTCAAGGACACAGTGAGCTATAATTGTGCCGCTGTACTCCAGCCTGCGCAACAGAGCAAGACCTTGTCACTATTAAAATAATAATAATAATAATATTAATAAAATGAAAAAATAAAAAGATAGATGACTTGCTTTCTTAACCCACACTTGCATCATCTATGTCTAACGATTCTGATACAAGATGAAATTAACACATCTGCGATCTCTACATTAAACATAAACATGATCTTTGTTTAAAAACTCAAATATTGTTTTATCTTTTCAAATGAGAAATAAGAAAGCCACTGATGTATCTAACCAGAGTATAATTTATGTCTTGACCTTGTGTGCACAACTTTCCAACTTTCTGTGTTAAGAATTATGAAGTACACTTCAAAGACTTCTGCTGGTTATATCTAGGTGTAACTGCGTTGCAAGCTGAAGTAGAAACTGTTTTTTTTTTTTCAAGGAAGACCAGTTTTATTGAAATAATGTCTTGACAAATAATGATAAATGAGACTATGGTATTTTACAAATATTTTCTTGAAAATATAAAATGAACCACTATCTTCCAGGAAAGCTATTTTCTGTGCTCCTTGCTAATGAGATAATAAATGTCTTGGGAAAAAATTAAAGTTTTGGAAACTGTGAGCTAATGACATTTCAGTGTTGTTCAAAAATAAAATTTTTATTTTTGATAAGTAAACTTAAAAATAAAATTTGCGTTTTTGATTGATTTCTTTGAAATCAATGGTGATATTTTAAAATGTGAGGTCATCTTTTGAAAGAACTGTTTAACTAAGTTGCACAATATTTTCCAAAGTAACCAATGACAAAAAAATACATGGGTAGGCCGGGCGCGGTGGCTCACGCCTGTAATCCCAGCACTTTGGAAGGCCGAGGCGGGCGGGTCACGAGGTCAGGAGATCAAGACCATCCTGGCTAACACGGTGAAACCCCGTCTCTACTAAAAATGCAAAAAAATTAGCCGGGCGTGGTGGCGGGCGCCTGTAGTCCCAGCTACTTCGGAGGCTGTGGCAGGAGAATGGCGTGAACTCGGAAGGCGGAGATTGCAGCGAGCAGAGATCGCGCCGCTGTACTCCAGCCTCGGCGACAGAGCAGGACTCCATCTCAAAAAAAAGTACATGGGTAACAGATCCATTCACAGAGGAAGAGACATATTAATTTCAATATATTTCAATATAATTGAGTATGGATTTTCAGATTCCACTTCTCTAGTTTTAGCTTATATCGGATAAATATCTACAATGATCACAAAAGATTATAAATTGCTGTTCCTTTTCCTGAATATCCTTTACATCCTTCAGTTCACACACCTTTTGTAAGAGATTGAAGGCACAAACGGATATAAGAATCAAGTTATCCTGTATTGAGCCGAATTGAAGTAGATTTTCTATTCTTTTCTTTTGTTTTGACACGGAGTCCCGCTCTGTCACCCAGGCTGGAGTGTAGTGACGTGATCTTGGCTCCGCCTCTTAAGTTCAAGTAATTCTCCTGCCTCAGCCTCCCGAGTATCTAGGATTGCAGGTGCGCGTGCACCACCGCACCCGGCTAATTTTGGTATTTTTAGTAGAGACAGGGTTTTACCATGTTGGCCAGGCTGGTCTCTAACTCTTGACCTCAAGGGATCCGCCTGCTTCCGTCTCCCAAAATGCTGGGATTAGAGGCGTGCGCTAGGGCACTGGCCAAGCACATTTTCAAAAATGTAAAACAATATCATTCCTCTTAGTAATTTTTTTCTTTTCTTTTTCTTTTTTTTTCCTTTTCTTTTCTTTTTTTTTTTTTTTTGAAGCAATCTTGCTCTGTGGCCCAGGCTGGAGTGCAGTGGCATGACCTCGGCTCATTGCAACCTCCATATCCCAGGTTCAAGCGATTCTTCCACCTCAGCCTCCCAAGTAGCTGGGATTACAGGCATGCGGCACCATGGCCGGCTAATTTTTGTAACGTTAATAGAGATGGAATTTCACCAGGCTGGTCTTGCACTCTTGACCTCAGGTGATCCGCCTGCCTTGGCCTCCCAAAGTGCCGAGATTAAAGGCATGAGCCACCGCACCCGGCCCATCTTAGTAATGTTTTGTTGCTTTATAAAAGATAGTTTTTAAAATGTGTTATGTTAGTAGGTAATAGGATTATTGGTATATTAAAATTAATTTATAAATAAATATTTTAAAAATATCATTTTAAAATTTCCATTACAATTAAAATTGATAACTATATACCACATGGGTATATTGTAGATGTATATATTTATGGGATACATGAGATATCTTGATACAGGCATACAATGTGTAATAATCACATCAGGGTAAACATATGTGTGGTATATTTATTAAAATAAATAAAAATATTAAAATGATTGTAAAGATATTATCTAATTTATGATTTTAAGATAAAGTATCTACATATATTAAAAAGTATTTTCACTTATCACGTCAGTTGCGGGATTATTTCAGTTGGTATAGGAGTCTGTGTATTTCTTATGATAGGTTAATTCTACATTTTATATTTAATACCAATCATTTTATAATGATATCACAGCCTTTTAACAAAACATTCTCTACATCATTAATGCAAGTATCAAGCAAAATATCTATGCATTCTTACATTATGTCATTTATTGTGGCTGTTTTAATCTTTTGCACACAAAATTCTTTCAGCAAATATATTTTTTTAAAACAACAGTTCTCAAAATTTTTGGTCTTGGGAACCCTTTGCATTCTTAAAGAGAGGAAATAATCCCAAAGATGTGTTTACTATATTCTTTTTGTTATTTTAAAGTGTACAATAAATTATTGTTGACCGTAATCATTCTTTTGTGCTTTCAAATACTACATCTTATTCATTCTTTCTAACTATATTTGTGTATCCATTAACCATCCTCACTTCCGCACCCACCTCACTACCCTTTTCAGCTTCTGGTAACCATCATTTCTGCTCTCTATCTCCATGAGTTCAGTGGTTTCAATTTTTAGCTTCCACAACAGTTTACGAACACGCAGTTTGTCTTTCTGTGCATGGCTTAATTCATTTAACATATTTTCCATCTATGTTGTTGCAAATGACAGAATCTCATTTTCTTTTATGGATGAATAGTACTTTTTTCGGTATACATACCACATTTTCTTTGTGCGTTCATCTGTTGATGAACATTGAAGTTGCTTGCAAATCTTGGCTATTGTGCATAGTGCTGCAATAAACACGGGCATGCAGCTGTATTGTTGACATAATGATTTCCTTTCTTTTTGGTATATACCTAGCAGTGGGATTACTGGATCACATGGTGATTTTACTGGTAGATTTTTGAGGAACTTCCATACTGTTCTCCGTAATGGATATACTAATTTGCACTTTCATCAATGGTGTATGAGGGTTCCCTTTTCTACCTCAGACACATTATCGCCAGCATTCATTATTGCCTGTCTTCTGGATAATAGTCGTTTTAACTAGGATGAGATAATATCACATGGTAGTTTTGAATTGCATTTCTCTGATGATCAATGGTATTGAGTACCTTTTCATATACCTATCTGCCATCTGTATGTCTTTTTTTGAGACATATCTATTCAGATTTTTTGCCCAGTTTTGAAACAGATTATTAGATTTTTCCTATTCAATTTTTTGAGCTCTCTATGTATTCTGGTTACTAATTTTTTGTAAGATAGTTTGCAAATATTTTCTCTCATTTTTTGGGTTGTCTCTTCACTATGTTTCCTTTGCTGTGCAGAAGCTTTTTAAATTGATATGGTCTTATTTGTACATTTTTGTTTTGGTTACCTGTGCTTATGAGATATTACTCAAAAAAAATCTCTGCTTAGACCAATGTCCTGGAGAGTTTTTACAATGCTTTCTTTTAGATGTTTCACAGTTTGTGGTCTTAGATTTATATCATTAATAAATTTTGATTTTTTATATGGTGAGATAGGGGTCTAGTTTCATTCTTCTGCATATGATTTCCAGTTTTTCCATTAACATGCATTGAAGAGATTGTGTTTTCTCCAATATATGTTCTTGGCACCTTTTTCAAAATGATTTCATTGTAGGTGTGTGGATATTTTTCTGGAACCCATTCCATTTATCTATGTGTCTGTTTTTGTGCCAACATCATGCTGTTTTTGTTAGAATTGCTCTACAGTATAATTTTAAGCCAGATAATGTAATTTCTCCTGTTTTGTTCTTTTTGCTGAGAATGGCGTTGGCTATTCTGGGTCATTTGTGGTTCCATAAAAATTTTAATATTATTGTTTTCTATTTCTGTGAAGAATGTCATTGGCATTGTGATAAAGATTGCATTGAATCTGTAGAGAGTTTTTAGTAATGTAGACATTTGAACAATATCGATTTTTCCAATTTATGAAGATGGAATAACTTTTAACTTTTTGTGTCTTCAATTTCTTACATCAACATTTTATCATTTCATTATTGAAATCTTTCACTTTTTTGGTTAAGTTTATTCCTAGGTATTTTGTTTTAAATGTAGCTATTGTAAGTGGAATTACTTTTACGATTACTTTTTTAGATTGTTTGCTGTTGGTGTATAAAAAATGCTACTGATTTTTGTATGTTGATTTTGGATCCTACAACTTTACTCAATTTATTTATAACTTTGATATTTGACTGTCATAGCCTGTTTTAAAAAGAGTAAAGGTAAAAATAAAATAAAATTTAATGATATTATTGAAGTTTCCATCATAGATGGTTAAAATAGACTCATAATGGAAAAAAATGTTATGCATTTAGATTGTTTTAAATGTAGGACTAGTCAGTATCTGCCAAACATGAGCTAAAAATTAGGGCTACAAGTGAGTTTTTAGGAACAATGTAACATGCTCTAGTGTGAAGGAAGTTCACCTTTTATTGGGCTGTGATTTAGCTTCCAACCTCTTACTCTCAGGCTCGTCTCACTATCCATTGTTGTTAACAATACAATAGTGTATCTAGGTTGTGTTTGCTGTAGAATGACACAATTTGCTGTGTTGCCTCCAAAACTCCAGCTTCTTGTAGAGAGTCCAATTTTCAAGCATTTCTGCCAGTTTTGCTGATGATACAGCTGTTTTTGTTTTTTAACCTCACTTTGCCAAAATATTTTACTCAAAGAGATAATTTTAATTTTTATTCACTCTTTATTATACATTCTTCACTACAGAGAAACATAGATTTAAATCTGGTGATGATTGTGTTATAGAAGAAGACAATCAGAATACTAGATGCTGATTATCTTAGAATCTTCTCTGACACCTACCTTCCCCTTTTGTTTCCTTGAACCAAACTTGTGCTTCCTCTGGGCTTTTCCCATAAAATCAGGTCATTGTTGGATGAGTCTTTTGGTTCATTCTAAATAGTGAGCATCGTTAAGTTCTTCAAAAATTTCTATAGGTATCTAAATTCTTGGTAAACGCTATTTAGACCTAGTGTTTAAAAAATACAATTACCTCCAATGACTAGGAGTAAGCAAGTGATTTTGGAACTTGTGTTTCAATGTATCATGTAATATGTGTTTTATTGGTGTATGAAAAATAACTTTCTTTTTTTTTTCTTTTATTATTATACTTTAAGTTTTAGGGTACATGTGCACATTGTGCAGGTTAGTTACATATGTATACATGTGCCACGCTGGTGCGCTGCACCCACTAACTCGTCATCCAGCATTAGGTATATCTCCCAATGCTATCCCTCCCCCCTCCCCCCACCCCACAACAGTCCCCAGAGTGTGATGTTCCCCTTCCTGTGTCCATGTGATCTCATTGTTCAATTCCCACCTATGAGTGAGAATATGCGGTGTTTGGTTTTTTGTTCTTGCGATAGTTTACTGAGAATGATGATTTCCAATTTCATCCATGTCCCTACAAAGGACGTGAACTCATCATTTTTTATGGCTGCATAGTATTCCATGGTGTATATGTGCCACATTTTCTTAATCCAGTCTCTCATTGTTGGACATTTGGGTTGGTTCCAAGTCTTTGCTATTGTGCATAGTGCCGCAAAAAACATACGTGTGCATGTGTCTTTATAGCAGCATGATTTATAGTCCTTTGGGTATATACCCAGTAATGGGATGGCTGGGTCAAATGGTATTTCTAGTTTCAGATCCCTGAGGAATTGCCACACTGACTTCCACAATGGTTGAACTAGTTTACAGTCCCACCAACAGTGTAAAAGTGTTCCTATTTCTCCACATCCTCTCCAGCACCTGTTGTTTCCTGACTTTTCAATGATTGCCATTCTAACTGGTGTGAGATGGTATCTCATTGTGGTTTTGATTTGCATTTCTCTGATGGCCAGTGATGATGAGCATTTTTTCATGTGTTTTTTGGCTGCATAAATGTCTTCTTTTGAGAAATGTCTGTTCATGTCCTTCGCCTACTTTTCGATGGGGTTGTTTGTTTTTTTCTTGTGAATTTGTTTGAGTTCTTTGTAGATTCTGGATATTAGCCCTTTGTCAGATGAGTAGGTTGCGAAAATTTTCTCCCATTTTGTAGGTTGCCTGTTCACTCTGATGGTAGTTTCTTTTGCTGTACAGAAGCTCTTTAGTTTAATTAGATCCCATTTGTCAATTTTGTCTTTCGTTGCCATTGCTTTTGGTGTTTTCGACATGAAGTCCTTGCCCATGCCTATGTCCTGAATGGTATTGCCTAGGTTTTCTTCTAGGGTTTTTATGGTTTTAGGTCTAACATTTAAGTCTTTAATCCATCTTGAATTGATTTTTGTATAAGGTGTAAGGAAGGGATCCAGTTTCAGCTTTCTACATATGGCTAGCCAGTTTTCCCAGCATCATTTATTAAATAGGGAATGCTTTCCCCATTGCTTGTTTTTCTCAGGTTTGTCAAAGATCAGATAGTTGTACATATGCGGTGTTATTTCTTAGGGCTCTGTTCTGTTCCATTGATCTATATCTCTGTTTTGGTACCAGTACCATGCTGTTTTGGTTACTGTAGCCTTGTAGTATAGTTTGAAGTCAGGTAGTGTGATGCCTCCAGCTTCGTTCTTTTGGCTTAGGATTGACTTGGCAATGCGGGCTCTTTTTTGGTTCCATATGAACTTTCAAGTAGTTTTTTCCAATTCTGTGAAGAAAGTCATTGGTAGCTTGATGGGGATGGCATTGAATCTGTAAATTACCTTGGGCAGTATGGCCATTTTCACGATATTGATTCCTCCTACCCATGAGCATGGAATGTTCTTCCATTTGTTTGTATCCTCTTTTATTTCATTGAGCAGTGGTTTGTAGTTCTCCTTGAAGAGGTCCTTCACATCCCTTGTAAGTTGGATTCCTAGGTATTTTATTCTCTTTGAAGCAATTGTGAATGGGAGTTCACTCATGATTTGGCTCTCTGTTTGTCTGTTGTTGGTGTATAAGAATGCTTGTGATTTTTGTACATTGATTTTGTATCCTGAGACTTTGCTGAAGTTGCTTATCAGCTTAAGGAGATTTTGGGCTGAGACAATGGGGTTTTCTAGATACACAATCATGTCGTCTGCAAACAGGAACAATTTGACTTCCTCTTTTCCTAACTGAATACCCTTTATTTCCTTCTCCTGCCTAATTGCCCTGGCCAGAACTTCCAACACTCTGTTGAATAGGAGTGGTGAGAGAGGGCATCCCTGTCTTGTGCCAGTTTTCAAAGGGAATGCTTCCAGTTTTTGCCCATTCAGTATGATATTGGCTGTGGGTTTGTCATAGATAGCTCTTATGATTTTGAAATACGTCCCATCAATACCTAATTTATTGAGAGTTTTTAGCATGAAGGGTTGTTGAATTTTGTCAAAGGCCTTTTCTGCATCTATTGAGATAAATATGTGGTTTTTGTCTTTGGCTCTCTTTATATGCTGGATTACATTTATTGATTTGCATATATTGAACCAGCCTTGCATCCCAGGGATGAAGCCCACTTGATCATGGTGGATAAGCTTTTTGATGTGCTGCTGGATTCATTTTGCCAGTATTTTATTGAGGATTTTTGCATCAATGTTCATCAAGGATATTGGTCTAAAATTCTGTTTTTTGGTTGTGTCTCTGCCAGGCTTTGGTATCAGAATGATGCTGGCCTCATAAAATGAGTTTGGGAGGATTCCCTCTTTTTCTATTGATTGGAATAGTTTCAGAAGGAATGGTACCAGTTCCTCCTTGTACCTCTGGTAGAATTCGGCTGTTAATCCATCTGGTCCTGGACTCTTTTTGGTTGGTAAGCTATTGATTATTGCCACAATTTCAGATCCTGTTATTGGTCTATTCAGAGATTCAACTTCTTCCTGGTTTAGTCTTGGGAGAGTGTATGTGTCAAGGAATTTATCCATTTCTTCTAGATTTTCTAGTTTATTTGCGTAGAGGTGTTTGTAGTATTCTCTGATGGTAGTTTGTATTTCTGTGGGATCGGTGGTGATATCCCCTTTATCATTTTTTATTGTGTCTATTTGATTCTTCTCTCTTTTTTTCTTTATTAGTCTTGCTAGTGGTCTATCTATTTTGTTGATCCTTTCAAAAAACCAGCTCCTGGATTCATTAATTTTTTGAAGGGTTTTTTGTGTCTCTGTTTCCTTCAGTTCTGCTCTGATCTTAGTTATTTCTTGCCTTCTGCTAGCTTTTGAATGTGTTTGCTCTTGCTTTTGTAATTCTTTTAATTGTGATGTTAGGGTGTCAATTTTGGATCTTTCCTGCTTTCTCTTGTGGGCATTTAGTGCTATAAATTTCCCTCTACACACTGCTTTGAATGCGTCCCAGAGATTCTGGTATGTTGTGTCTTTGTTCTCATTGGTTTCAAAGAATGTCTTTATTTCTGCCTTCATTTCGTTATGTACCCAGTAGTCATTCAGGAGCAGGTTGTTCAGTTTCCATGTAGTTGAGCAGTTTTGAGTGAGATTCTTAATCCTGAGTTCTAGTTTGATTGCACTGTGGTCTGAGAGATAGTTTGTTATAATTTCTGTTCTTTTACATTTGCTGAGGAGAGCTTTACTTCCAAGTATGTGGTCAATTTCGGAATAGGTGTGGTGTGGTGCTGAAAAAAATGTATATTCTGTTGATTTGGGGTGGAGAGTTCTGTAGATGTCTATTAGGTCCGCTTGGTGCAGAGCTGAGTTCAATTCCTGGGTATCCTTGTTGACTTTCTGTCTCGTTGATCTGTTTAATGTTGACAGTGGGTTGTTAAAGTCTCCCATTATTAATGTGTGGGAGTCTAAGTCTCTTTGTAGGTCACTCAGGACTTGCTTTATGAATCTGGGTGCTCCTGTATTGGGTGCATATATATTTAGGATAGTTAGCTCTTCTTGTTGAATTGATCCCTTTACCATTATGCAATGGCCTTCTTTGTCTCTTTTGATCTTTATTGGTTTAAAGTCTGTTATATCAGAGACTAGGATTGCAACCCCTGCCTTTTTTTGTTTTCCATTTGCTTGGTAGATCTTCCTCCATCCCTTTATTTTGAGCCTATGTGTGTCTCTGCACGTGAGATGGGTTTCCTGAATACAGCACACTGATGGGTCTTGACTCTTTATCCAATTTGCCAGTCTGTGTCTTTTAATTGGAGCATTTAGTCCATTTACATTTAAAGTTAATATTGTTATGTGTGAATTTGATCCTGTCATTATGATGTTAGCTGGTTATTTTGCTCATTAGTTGATGCAGTTTCTTCCTAGTCTCGATGGTCTTTACATTTTGGCATGATTTTGCAGCAGCTGATACCGGTTGTTCCTTTCCATGTTTAGCGCTTCCTTCAGGACCTCTTTTAGGGCAGGCCTGGTGGTGACAAAATCTCTCAGCATTTGCTTGTCTGTAAAGTATTTTATTTCTCCTTCACTTATGAAGCTTATTTTGGCTGGATATGAAATTCTGGGTTGAAAATTCTTTTATTTAAGAATGTTGAATATTGGCCCCCACTCTTTTCTGGCTTGTAAGGTTTCTGCCAAGAGATCCGCTGTTAGTCTGATGGGCTTCCCTTTGAGGGTAACCCGACCTTTCTCTCTGGCTGCCCTTAACATTTTTTCCTTCATTTCAACTTTGGTGAATCTGACAATTATGTGTCTTGGAGTTGCTCTTCTCAAGGAGTACCTTTGTGGTGTTCTCTGTATTTCCTGAATCTGAACGTTGGCCTGCCTTGCTAGATTGGGGAAGTTCTCCTGGACAATATCCTGCAGAGTGTTTTCCAACTTGGTTCCATTCTCCCCGTCACTTTCAGGTACACCAATCAGACGTAGATTTGGTCTTTTCACATAGTCCCATATTTCTTGGAGGCTTTGCTCATTTCTTTTTATTCTTTTTTCTCTAAACTTCCCTTCTCACTTCATTTCATTCATTTCATCTTCCATCGCTGATACCTTTTCTTCCAGTTGATCGCATCGGCTCCTGAGGCTTCTGCATTCTTCACGTAGTTCTCGAGCCTTGGTTTTCAGCTCCATCAGCTCCTTTAAGCACTTCTCTGTATCGGTTATTCTAGTTATACATTCTTCTAAATTTTTTTCAAAGTTTTCAACTTCTTTGCCTTTGGTTTGAATGTCCTCCCATAGCTCAGAGTAATTTGATCGTCTGAAGCCTTCTTCTCTCAGCTCGTCAAAGTCGTTCTCCATCCAGCTTTGTTCCATTGCTGGTGAGGAACTGCATTCCTTTGGAGGAGGAGAGGTGCTCTGCTTTTTAGAGTTTCCAGTTTTTCTGTTCTGTTTTTTCCCCATCTTTGTGGTTTTATCTACGTTTGGTCTTTGATGATGGTGATGTACAGATGGGTTTTTGGTGTGGATATCCTTTCTGTTTGTTAGTTTTCCTTCTAACAGACAGGACCCTCAGCTGCAGGTCTGTTGGAATACCCTGCCATGTGAGGTGTCAGTGTGCCCCTGCTGGGGGGTGCCTCCTAGTTAGGCTGCTCGGGGGTCAGGGGTCAGGGACCCACTTGAGGAGGCAGTCTGCCCGTTCTCAGATCTCCAGCTGCGTGCTGGGAGAACCACTGCTCTCTTCAAAGCTGTCAGACAGGGACATTTAAGTCTGCAGAGGTTACTGCTGTCTTTTTGTTTGTCTGTGCCCTGCCCCCAGAGGGGGAGCCTACAGAGGCAGGCAGGCCTCCTTGAGCTGTGGTGGGCTCCACCCAGTTTGAGCTTCCTGGCTGCTTTGTTTACCTAATCAAGCCTGGGCAATGGCGGGCGCCCCTCCCCCAGCCTCGCTGCCGCCTTGCAGTTTGATCTCAGACTGCTGTGCTAGCAATCAGCGAGACTCCGTGGGCGTAGGACCCTCCGAGCCAGGTGCGGGATATAATCTCGTGATGCACCGTTTTTTAAGCCCGTCAGAAAAGCGCAGTATTCGGGTGGGAGTGACCCGATTTTCCAGGTGCCGTCCCTCACCCCTTTCTTTGACTAGGAAAGGGAACTCCCTGACCCCTTGCGCTTCCCGAGTGAGGTAATGCCTCACCCTGCTTCGGCTCGCGCACGGTGCGTGCACCCACTGACCTGCGCCCACTGTCTGGCACTCCCTAGTGAGATGAACCCGGTACCTCAGATGGAAATACAGAAATCACCCGTCTTCTGCGTCGCTCACGCTGGGAGCTGTAGACCGGAGCTGTTCCTATTCGGCCATCTTGGCTCCTCCCCTCCGAAAAATAACTTTCTAAAGCAGGTATAACTGCCCTTTCTTAAATATATTTGCTGTATTTTACTGGCTTTGTGTTGTTGTTGGTTGTTGCTGCTGTTTGAATATTTGTTTTTATGTTCTGATAGGCAAACTCTATACGAAAAGGTTAGATGATTTTAGTTTAGAACACATACCAATTACCTTTGTTATTTTACTAAAAAATATGATCTATATTAAGCACTAATAATGATAGCTATTTGCAGCAGGAATTTCTAAAAAATCAATTCTATAATTTTTTTCTATTAACTTTGAAAACATAAATTTGATATACTTACAGATTAAACAACATATGTAGTATGAAAACTGGTTACAAAATATAATGCAATTATTGCTCTGAGCCTATAAGAATTAGAAAATTAATGAGATCATGGAGGTTATTTCATAAATTATATTAATATTTTATTTGATTTGCCAACATTTTGGTTAACACTTTTGAAGTCATCTTCCCAAGTTAGAGGACCTTATAATGTTCTTTCAGTGTACTGTTCTTTTCTGGTAGCAAGAGTATCCTCTTTTTAAAGAATGATTAGTTTATATGGGACAGGAATCATTTTTCCTTAAGGGTTTGGTATTACCTATGCAGATCTTCACAATGCTCTAGTTCTTTGTGTGAGAATCTTTCTAGATATTGCTTCAATTTCTTCTTGATTGTCCTACAGCACTTATTTCTCACTCATTAAGTTATGTAAGGGCCGTTATTCTGTCACATAAAAGCTGAAAGAAGGGCCTATAAATAAGTAGAATGAAAAGAAATTTTTGTCCACCACAGTCTTTGAAAGAACAGTTTTTAATTCTAACCTTGCCTTAACACATCATTTTCCCAGTATTATGATTAGTAGTTATAGTGTAACAAAAACATAAATTTATTAGATAAGAATTACAGAGAATAGTAACATACAATTATAGCTTCCAGGAAGTATATTAAAAGATTGGCATTGTGTGAAGAGTTATATTCCAGAGACACTAAAGTATTTCTCTATTTAAGTTATGTGCATGAAGAAAAGTGCTGATATGATAGTGATGTTTGCTCAATGTTCGTTGAAGATGCAGGGTTTCTGAAATGGGACATAAGTCGGCTATTGGTTGTGATTTGAAAAATCTGTGTTCCATTTCTGGATAAATGTCACTTTTGTAAACTTGGTTGAGATATTGTCTCATAATAAAAATCAGGAAATAAATATGTAATAATTACTCCATATCTAATTGCCATAATGTCAATAGAATACCCGCTACATATGGCATTAATTATGTATATATTGAATGAATAATTGACTGAATCTCATGATAACTCGTTTTGCCTAAACATATGATATAAAGATTAATTATATGAAATCTGTTACTGTTTTTCAAGGGCATTCTATCTATGTAAACAAACTGAGCTTATTACTCTGTCATTTAAATATAGCATTAGGCCAATACAGTCATCTCAGCTTTCTCTGGTTCTAAGATTTGGGGTCACATGCCTAGTAAACCAATAGCTAAATGAGACTGGAATTTGAATGTTTTGGTAAATAAGATTTCAATTAGATTCTTCAGATTATATTATTCAGATGTGGGGGCTTATTAATATACAGTAATACTTTGGTCAAATTTTCTAATCTATGCTAGATTTGTCTCTGATCCAAATTTTGGATTTTAGATTTTAGAGATCAAAGCTATTTATTTGGACAAATCCATAATTACCTTAGGAAGTTTCAGCTTCTCTATTCAACATGAAATGGAACCCATAAAATATCATATAAGAAAGAACTGACCCTATGATTATGAATCCAAGACTGGCTTTTCAAAAAGTACCATATTACAGGACTGATAAGCATGCAGAGCTGATTAACATAGTGATTAAGAATTGTTTATTCCAATCACATTATATTAGAGCCAATAGAAGCCAAGAAAATAATCTATTATGTAGTGATTGTTAAAGAGACCTATGGTTGTCTATGACCCACCCAATATTTTGAGAATCACTTAAAACTGGCAGAATAGTTAGGGCTCTTATGATGCTCTCATGGTAGCCTTGCAGAGTCTACCAAATTTAAAATACAGTATTCATGTTAGGCGAGGAGTTTTCAACAAATATGTGCTGCAGTAATATGAGAGACAAAGAGAGAGAATGAGAGAATGAGTAGGACAACAGTGTGGAGATGTATGTATATATATGTATAAATGTGTGTATATATGTATATGTGTGTGTGTGTGTGTGTGTGTGTATGTCTTTCCACAATCCTAGTAAAGGAAGGTTTTATTTTGGTTTAAGGAACGTAAAACTCAGAAATCTCCCAAGAGAACAGATTCATATTCATGATATATATCCATTACTTACCTAGGCTTTACAGGTTTGTTTCTACAATAGTTTGGAGGAAGAAGGAGAGTTATATACAGATGAAAGCAGACTTTAATATAAGTCCTTTGCAGTTAAAATGAATACCTACTCACATCCTACAAATGCTCTACAGTATCATTGGCTTTTCTAACCTATAAAATCCAACATGAGTATCATGCTCTACAGAAATCAAATGCTCCAAATTGGCCTATCACATAAAAATAAATTCAGTGCTTATGCGTTTGTTTATTATGTTTATAAACAGTGAGCTTAAACCAGGTACCTAAGCCTGGAATTGAGGTGGATCTTTGCATATGTCATACCCTCCAGGCAACAAGAAGCTGTTTCATTGTTCAGTGTTGATCAATTATGTCAACCATCATAGGGAAAGAATATTGACTCAATATTTGTTTTCCACTTAAATTATCTGAATTACAAGTCAGAGTTATTTAAGATCAACCATAAGGAATTTAGGCCTACAGTGCATCCTGCCTGGAAAAATTACAATTATTATGGAGCAAGTTCTCTGAATTTTAGCTAACACTAAAAATAAACTTTCCAAAGAGTCAGATATCTTTATTTAGTATTTAATTAAATTCAGTGCTATCTAAATCAGAAAACATTATTTATAAATTCTTATATGATATTGTTTGGATTTGTGTCTCCACCCAAAACTCATGTTAAATTGTAATTCCCAATGTTGAGGGACCTGGTGGGAGGTGAATGGATCATGGGGGCAGATTTTCCCCTTGTTCTCACGATAGTGAGTGAGTTCTCATGAGATCAGATTATTTAAAAGTGTGTGGCACTTTTCCCTTTGGATTCTCTCTCTCTCATTGCCAAGTGAAGATGTGCTTGCTTCCTTTTCACCTTCCACCATGATTGCAAGTTTCTTGAGGCCTCCCCAGCCATGCCTCCTTCACAGCCTGTGGAACTGTGAGTCAATTAAACCTGTTTACTTTATATACTACTCAGTCTCAGGTAGTTATTTATAAAAATGTGAGAACGAACTAATATATCATGTGTGGCAAACATCTAGCATAGTTTTGACCTTATTATTTTCAAATATATACTATAACTGAATGGAAATAAATATTCAGTAGGTATATATCAAGCTACTTAGAATTTCCTAAATGTATTCTTAACCACGTTAGAAGCTAAGTTGGTTAAAAAGAATTGATCTTTCTATGTCTACATAAAGTAGAATTATGTAAAATAGGTTATATTGAACTGCTTGCTTTTTGGTTTGCTGTTCTTGATTCTTGACTTTTTTCCTGTATGTGTGTAGCAAATTTTGGATAACATTGAGTTTTTTTAATTTCATATACATATTCTAATAATTTTAAGATTATTAGGTATGATGGATGAATGAAAATAAGCTGTGAATATTAAGGCACTGATTAATACAAGTCACAATCAATTTTAATTTTAAATAACATATTATTGAATAAAATTTTTGTTTTTACATGTACAAACTTCTGTCTATACATGAAACACATAAATTCTGTCTGATACACACAGGTATATATGTGTGTTTATATATATATTCACATATACATAGGTAACAAACGTATGTTTTATTATTGTAATTTTTCAGATAAATAAATGAAATTCACATTTGTTAACCAAAGAAAATTGTTTTCTTTTTTCTTTCAATTTTTACATAACAAGTAGCACATTTAAACCAAGGTTCGCATGCTGAAAAAATATAGTCTTTTCAATGCGTCACCCTGCTTCTCTTTAAGATAATACCCACACAATTAAATCTAAGAGGTATTTGATTTTGTTTCTGATTGATTCAAAACTACTGGATTTTATTTTAATCTCAGAAACAGCAATGTATTAGAATTTTTATTGCTTATATAAAAAGCCTAGGGAATTACTTGAGTAAAGATGAGGATTCTGGTACTACAATAATAAATATTATGTATTTCTAATCCAAAGTAGACAATTCTTTTCAAATATGCATTTTGAGGATCCATAATTAACTTCACAGCCTTTTGTGATTCATTTGTTAAAATACTTTACATATTAAAGCAGTTAATTTACTTTTATTGAACTTTGACTTTAATAAATTAAACTATTTCCTTATCACTTTTTCTCCCATTTAAGACACTACTTGCTTTTTTTTCTCATCTTCTCTCCTTTTCTTCCTTCCTCTCTTCTCTCCTCTTCTACTCTCTCTCCTGTTAGATATAAGCAAAAAACTTTTTATGTGTTTCTATAGTTAAAATGTTTTGGGGCAATTCTAAGCTGTTACTGAGTGTTAATTTATACAATTGAATAGCTTCCAAATAGCCCAACAGACATGACTGAGTTTATTTTAGTACTAGGAGAAATTACATTTTTTTTCCCTAAGACTCTCAAAGAGAAATATAATGGTGAATAGTTAAGTGCAAAACACAGCCTATAGTTAGTAAATCCATTTATAGACTGTGTCTTTTTCTCTAAATTGAATATGCTATATAAACATAAAACGCTTCTCTTAAAGGTTTAAAATCAAAGGTTAAAAAATAATAGTCAGGATTTAAAGTCAAAAGTGGAGGCATATCAGCTCTGTTCAAATCACTCACATATATTTTAGTTCAGTTTATTTCAAATTTATGACAGATAGGATATTATTAAAAATACTTTCGAATCCTGCCCTACTTTCTGGGGCCAACTAGCTTTAAAAAAAATCAATGACAGCCGGGCTCGGTGGCTTACACCTGTAACCCCAGCAATTTGGGAGGCTGAGGCAGGTGGATCACCTGAGGTCAGGAGTTCAAGACCAGCCTGGCAAACGTGGTGAAACCCCGTCTAGTAAAAATACAAATAAAATAAAATAAAATAAAATAAAATAAAATAAAATAAAATAAAATAAAATAAAATAAATTAGCCAGGCGAGATGGCGGGCACCTGTAATCCCAGCTACTCAGGAGGCTGAGGCAGGAGAATTGCTTGAACCAGGGAGGCAGAGGTTGCAGTAATTTGAGATCATGCCATTGCACTCCAGTCTGGGTGACAAGGGCAAAACTCCATCTCAAAAAACAAAACAAACAAAAATCAATGCTAGGCCATCTCTTCAGTGGGAAATATGTCTAACCTTCTTATTTTAAATAATTATATTTTCCTTTTATTGGGTTTGTAGGAGGAGTAGAATCAGTTTATTGATTCAAAGTTTTTCCTAATAAACCAGCTGTTTCTAGTATTGTTATTATGAAAGACATACATGATTATCTACTTAACATTTGTTTCCTTTCTTCTAAGGAGAGCTTCTATTTGTCCACACCCTTGTCATACTGAGAACAGCAGAGTAGATTGATGAAAAACAAAACAACGAATCCTACATAATGCATGCTGATTTTAATGCTTCTGAATTAACAATTGTTTAAATAGCCATACCTCCAGATTTTGAAGTGAGCTAATTAATGTATTCCTATTCAAACCATTTGGAGTTGGGATTCTAATATTAACCTTTGCGTATATCCTATTGGACAGTGTTAGTCAGGTATTGTTGTGTGCATTTGGCTTTACAAAGGCTGGTGTTTTTTAACTGTCATAAATATAAAACTAAGCCATCTTCTCTTAAAATTACATTAAATTTTATATTAAACTAAATGGAAGCATAAAGCAATGATTTTTTAAGGGTTTTTTATAACTGTATTTGCTCTGGAGGCATAATGTCTAGTCTAGTGAAATCGGTACTCTGAATTTTACTTATAAACTTTTTGTGTTTTCTGGGATAATCCTTGATTATAAAGTACATGTCAGTCTTCAAGTTTGTTTTGTTTTGCTGATATTTGCTTAAAAGTAATAAAGAAGGCAATACTGATTATCCACCCTAATTAAAATGAGCCATAAAACTCCACTTTTATTAGACTAAAATGATCAAAATTATCAGTAATCCTATGAAGATTCTAAATGCAGTAATACATTACTCTTAGAAGCATTAGAAATGAAATGCAAGCATGTCTGGGCAACTCTCTGCATACTTGGTGTCTGTACAACTTACGATCTGATACTGATGGTTTATAATATAGATTACCTCCAGGATACCTAGCATGTATGCTGGAAATGAAGTTTGGCTTAGTAACCTTTTCTTTTTTTTTTTTTTTTTTTTTTTTTTGAGATGGAGTCTTGCTCTGCTGTCCAGGCTGGAATGCAGTGGCGTGATCTCGGCTCACTGCAACCTCCACCTCCAAGGTTAAAGCGATTCTCCTGCCTCAGCCTACCGAGTAGCTGGGACTACAGGCTCCCCCCACCACGACAGGCTAATCTTCGTATTTTTAATAGACACGGGGTTTCACCATATTGGCCAGGCTGGTCTCAAACTCCTGACCTTGTGATCCGCCCACCTTGGCCTCCCAAAGTGCTGGGATTACAAGCGTAAGCCACCGCGGCCAGCCAGTAACCTTTGTTATTGTTCTATTGCTTCACTTGTTTCACTTGTACTTCTCTGATTAGGGACCATCAAATTGCTCCTGGTGTTCAGATCGATAAAATTCTGTGGGTGGTTGTAACAAAAGTAAATACTGAAAGAAGTATATCCCTTCTGACTTTTTTTTTTTTTTTGTAGAACTATTTCTGCATTCCACTTGACTTCAGCTAAAGAAACTGGTCTGTAAAAATGGCTTTTTAAATATTATAGAGTGAAATGCCACTGAAAGGGCTACACTTCCTAAGCCAGCCTCTCTAAATGACCCCTAGGTCCCCTGTGCAAAAAGTAATCACCCTCTTTTCTGCAACGAAGAATTTTATTAATTCCCAAAGTTTTATAATCTTTATATTCATCATATTACCCACTGTATCCATGACTTACTTCTTAAAAATCAGGGCAGTGTTCAGAAACCGATATCTGACATTTACTTGAATGAAAAAAGGCATCATTTAGCCTGAACTTTCATTTTGATCTTTCCATACCCTGATTTCATTCCAATCATTTTTTGCTGCTTTATAGGCTCAAAACTAGTACTCACTGAACTTGCTTATTTTTAAGTGACTCATCTAAGAAATATAATTTATTTATGCCCTCAATGCCCACAATATAAACACTGTAATATTATATATTTTTTCTAACAGCAGGGTGATTATAACTAAAGATCTAGAGCATGCATTAGACCCTGTGACATTCTGTACTTAAGGGATGTAGTTTAATGTGAATGAAATTTGTGAAGCCTGAAGGTTAAATTGACATTTAGGTGTCAGATACAAACTCTGGGTGCTATACTCACATGGTAAAGAGATGAAGTAAATAATTGTTTTAAAAGGGAATGGTCAAGCTCTGTAGTTTCTCTCACTATACTTTAATATGCAGACTAGCCTTCCATTTTTCCATCTAGACATAAAGTCAATAAATATATGACCACCACTAATATACTAATTTTCCACAGCAAAAAAATCGATTACTTTACAACTGACTCCTATATTTGGATGAATAACTGGAAGACTCAGTAAACCTGAACAAAATGTCTGTTACTTTAATTATGTACCTGACTTAAAGAACTTACTGGGTTGCTAAAATATTTTACATGCAGTAAGTTTTAAGTGTAGATACTTAACTCTTAAGCCTATACTTTTGACACTCGAGATTGCAAATTATTATTATTGTATAATTTCTTACTTTTGTGGCAAAAGATAGAGAAATCAAATAGAGTTTACAAAGAGATGGGTTGGGTAGTTTTGGAATATATATTACATTTTTACTGAATTTCCATTTTTATGGTACCTAGTTTCAATATATTTACTTTCAGACATAAATATTTTTATGTATACTTTTCACTGAATTGACACATTTAATGGTGTTAAGATGAAATTGAAAATGTTATTTATATTTATAATATTTAAACATAGGGAAAAAACATACATATCTACAGTATTAGCTTGCATATAACGATAGACATACAACGGATATCTAACCACAATTCAACATAGGTCTAATTATCTTTAAAGCCATTATTATAATCCTCATTTTTCATTGTGTAAAATAACGTTTCACAATTTAAGTTTGTAATCTAACTGAAGTTAGTTGCTTTTTTCTTTGCCAAGTTCTGAATCATTTTCAGCATGAATCATAGCAGCATTCTGGAGGCTCTTCCACTGTTTTGGGGACCTAATTTGAAATTCCTCATAAGATAGTGGATGGATCCATCCATTTTAAGATACGCATTTGCAACTCATTAAATTCCAAGCATTTGGTGAAACTCATGATGAGGAATCTGTTTCCCCAAATCCCTTAAATAAGGAAGCTCCTTCAATTCCTCAATCACTTCCTAATTATGCTGCTTATATTTCCAACACTTCTCACTCTCAAAATTCTTATAACAGTCATCAGTTTACAATCGTTTGTCCATTTCAATTTTTATAAGTGCAATAATTGTTTTTATTACTCACTCATTAGTTTGTCCATCACTCATCAAAAAAGCCTCATGTATCAAGATCTTCAATAAATATTTGTTGAATACATTTCATATTTTGAAAGTGGAGAATGCCTTAATGGCATTTCATAATATTAAGGATAAGCTTTTGAAAATATATGTGTTCACATTCTCCAATATTTGTGGCCCAGAACATTTGTTCGATAATTTATAATTGTGAGTTGAATTCTCTAAATCTATGGTTCACTTAAATTTTGATTTAATTGCACTCATTTTGATTACAAGATTATACTTTGCAAATATTTAATTAACCATTTTTGGATAAATGTTTCCAGGTGTCGATTCTTAGTTGTGTCTTGCAACATTTTTCTTCTCATCCCTGTCTAGTTAAATTCATTTTGTACATCTTAGATCTTTTAAGAGGTATATTTTATAAATATGAAAAGACCAATAAACACTAGAAAGAGTATAAAATTATTGGTATCTTATGGCCCCAAATTATAATTAAAAAATAATTACAGACACCAGAAAATATGTCCTCCGTAATTATTACTTGTGTGGTTTTAGTGTAAAAAAAAAAAAAAAAAGGGAGAGAAAAAACAAAATACTTCAATATCTAAACAAGGAGAATAATGTGCCTTCAAAACATATATATTCAATGTCATGGGTACTTCAGGTCAATTTTTATATTGATATATAAAACATTCTCACCTTTTCACTGTTTTGGAATAAAAACTTCTACATTGTATTCAAAGATTTTCATAGTCTTTCAAATTTCTTCTGAGTTAGTGAGTGAGTTTTATTCAGGTATTTTTAAATGTAAGACTCTGGTTGTCAAGTTAAGTTCTGTGTCCTGATAAAGTAAACTTAAAAAGAAAGAATTAGCATTATATATATGGATTTAACCAAATGTGATAAGCCATTCATATTTTCCCAAACAATCTTACTTGCATAATATACTCAATTACAACTGGATGCTTTTATTATTAATTATGGCTAATGATGGTGTTCCAAAAGCAAGCTATATCTTAAATTGTAACCTGATTAACACATGTATTCATCATATATTTTAATTAATGATTTTTGTAAAATGGAAGATTTCTATTTTTATAGTTTGTAATAGTGACCTTGAGTTCATAAGAAGAGTTTTCAAACAAAACTCTATTTTAAGAAAATAATAAATTGATTTTACAGATACAGAAAACTTTCTGAAGTAATATATCAAAAATATGATAAATAGCAATACATTATGTCAAGGAGCTTGTCTTATGGTCTGTCACAGAGGTCACTCTTTACCTCCATCCGATTTAATATCCTATTTAGCATTTTAATTAAGAATTTAGAAGTGCAAGTAAATGGAATATTAATAAGGTTCTCATAAGATACAAAATAGAGAGGTGCTACAAACTATTTCAAAAACAATAAAATGATACACAGACATAATGAGGTTAGTAGCAGGGACAGTATAGAACGAAATGAAATCTGCTTTAGAAAATATGAGTTAGTATGCATTTCAAAAATCAGGCATGTAAGTCTTTCATAAAAAATGTTTAGTCAAAAAAGACGGAAAAAGGAAAGAATATTGTACCTACAGAATGTTTGGACATATCGTAATATTGTGCCTTATACAAAGATGTTACCAAGGTTCAACCTTAGAAATTAAGATCTCAATTGGTGAATAAAATACTAAATTCAACCCAATATTTGCAAAGTCTTGGACAAGAGTACAAATTAAGATCCAGATACAGTTGATTAAATAATTAAAATATATACACAAGCTAAAAACATTAAAAAATAATGTTCTATTTTCCTACCTTAAAAACATATATTTAAAGCCACCTGAAAGGTCAGGTGTGAGTTACCAATTCCAATCCTCACCTTTACGATTTCTTTCCTGGAAGTTGATGATATGAGTAGAGTCAGCATGTGGACTCCTAGAGACCTTACCTCAGTCTCATCCTATCAGAGACTCTGCAGGACAAATTGTCCCACTGATTAGTCTGAACTTGGGGCCAGGGAAGTTTTCAGTATTCACTGACTGCAGCCTGCCCCCTACAGTGGAGTATAACCTATCAGGCAATCCAGTGGCTTCTATTTAGACTACAGTAAGTCTTTGAAATAGGAGGCAGCTGTGATACAAACTCCCAAGGCAGCTGAGATACAACTTTTCCAGTACAGGGAATCCAAATGGGATACCATTAGTCTCCGTTACAGTCACTCATTGTATGCCTCAGGTCTCCTGGCTTCTCACATTTGGTTTGTTGCATCTAAACATGGCTTCTCTAAGATGTTGGTAAGCCACAGTTTCTGGAAAACTTTAAATATAACAATTAGTTCAGTCAATGGCAGCATGCACTGCTGCAGTTGGTCCAAGGCCATAATTGATATTCATCATGTACCTCTTCTGCTATCCAGTCAAGAGTCTCCTCATCTAGTACTTATTTTGGTCTACGTAGTTGCCTTGTGGGGAGCTGTAGGAGACCTTACCCCTGAAGGTTCCACATCCTGGTTACCATGCACTTATTAGGCGGTATTGCTTTACTGGCCTGTTTACAGTTAAAACTAGGCAGAGGAATACCAGTAAATACCCAGAGGATCTCCTGACTTCTAAGTACATTTTGCCTTGCCCGCATTATGTAACAGCAGCTTTCGTGAGGATTACAGTTCATTACCTTTTTTAGTATGGTAACTTCCTTCTGCACTTGCTGGTCTACTGAAACAAAGAGCCCCAAATCTCCAGGCAGCAGTTATAGCTTTAAGTCTAGTGATACTCTTACTACATCTCTTTGTGGAAGTGACCCACTTTAGACTGAGAGAGCATAATGATGAGAGAACAGGAAACACAAATGCCTCAGGTGGTCCCTGGGTGTACTGGTGAGTGGGATCACTGATACTTCCACTCCTTCATGACCAGACTGATGTATTCCATCTGCTGGAAACAAAGCAGTATGTCAGGGCCACCGGTTTAAGAATTATACCACATTCTGAATGAGAGAATCACATCCTCTTATAGTTTCATTTTCAAGCTGGCTTCTCAACTGTTTTTTTCAAAAGGCTCTTCCCCTGCTTTATCAGAGAAGCAGTTTCAAGATAGTGTAGTTTGTGGCTGAACTGTGGTCATGTGCACACCACTGCAGCATGTTTGCTATAAAGCATCATTGGCTTGAAAACTTTAGTTAGAGGAGCTTCCATGTTGGTAGATCAGACATGGTATAAGTATTTAAATAGTGGTGCTGGCTGAACAACAGCGCAAAGAAAGGAAAAGGCATTTCTAGAGTACATTACAATCACATTTAAGATGAATCACTGCCTTTTCCAGATCCTAATGAGTTCATTATAATCAAATTGACACCAAATGCTTTGCTGTCTTCTATGTGTGCTTTATTATGGACTGAGCACCATTCTGTGTTACTGGCAGATGAAGTTCTCAGTAGCAGCCAGACGTAGATCAAATTAGCTTGCCAGAGAATCCATGCTGCTGGACCCATACACAGTCTCTATGCCACCATGACTATTTATTCCATGATCTCATGGTAAAGCACTGGAATACTTAAGGACAAAGACTAGCTAGCATTTAATGGCTGAGGTGTTATGTGCACTTGGTGATTCCATACTCTCTGATGGAGATTAAGCTGTGATGCAGATATCTGAGCACTATATTTTATGGTTTACAGGTACATCTTTGTGACTTCTCCCCAGACTGCCCTTATAATCGTGCATATCTTTACCCCAGGTTAATTCTGTTTCCACACTAAGTGGATGATTGGGTACACCGCTCAAATTCTGCCTGCTGGGGACATATTCCTTCCTCTCCATAGGCTTTCAAAGCCACGCCTACTTGGAACAATTGTGCAGCAGCACTCCATGACATGCAGACCCATACTGAGCTAATTCATCCTTGCACTAACTTTGAGCTTTTTCATCCTCCATCATCTAGGTATAGGACATCTCAATGAGGCCATAGGTGTTATCTAACAGAGAGGTATCAGTGTAACAGTGAAGGATGACATAGGAGTTTTGTGATCTGCATGTCCAGCTTCCATGTGACCTCTGTGCCCTCTTGGGCCACTTTTTAAATGTATTACTCTATTTTACAATGGATGCCTTATGGGCTCATCTGAACTTACTTTTAATGAGCAGTCCTGGCTGCATGGAGAACCGATGGCAAGTTTCTAAGACGGTAATAGTAGCAAGATTTTCGAATGTGTATAATTATCTTCTAGAGATGTCAAGATCTTGTGCCATACTCTAAGGGTCAGTGTGTAACTGTCCTATTAAGCCTTGTCATTGGCTTCACACAGCCTCATCTCTTACTGGATGGTATGGTTTGGATGTTCCTTCTAAATCTTATGTTGAAATATGATTCCCAATGTTGGAGGTGGGGTCTGGTGAGAAGTGATTGGATCACGGGGCCAGATCCCTCATAAATGGTTTACCATCATCCCCTTGGTGATGAGTGAGTTATCACTCATTAGTCCAAAGGAGATCTGATTGTTTAAAAGATTCTGAGACCTCCCTTTTCTCTTTCTCTTGCTCCTGCTCTCACCAGATGATGAGCTGCGTTCCTTTCATTTTCTGCCATGATTATGAGCTTCCTGAAGCCCTCATCATAAGCAGATGTCAGCATCACACTTCTTGCACAGCCTGTAGAACCGAGAGCCAAAATAAATTGATTTTCCTTATAAATTACCCAGTCTCAGATTTTTTTATAGCAATGCAAGAACAGACTAACTCACCAGAGACAGCTGTAAGACCATGGGATCAACTTATTCATATCGCCCAATGAATAATGGCTGCTTACACTGTAGTGTGGACTTGCAGTGGAGGACTTTCTTTGTTCAAAGCCACATGCATGCAGTTTTCAATGGAATTTGATTTAAATGGATCATTACTTACAGCCCTGTCTTCCAAGTGTTCAAAACACTGTTGCCGAATCTCAAAGAGGTCTACCATTTGTTGTGTTTCTTTCTGAGTGGTAAGAAGTACAAATGGCACTATCTCGTCTTTAAATTTTCAAGGGACATCCCAGTATTCCACAAAAGTACTGAGTCCTCTGAAATATCACATCTGTGGAAGACTCCGGTATAATTTTATGGATTTTCTTACAGTAGACCTAAATCACCTGGATATTCTGCAAAAAATCACATTGAACAGCTAAATTGATAGTGTAATGTTAACTACACCTGATGAGAGGAAGTGGCAAGTACTCGGGATGCCTTGAACACACACACACAAACACACACACACACACACACACACTCACACAACCAGCATAATTCTTGATCAAGGCAGCTCCCATTTGGTTGAAAATTAACAAGTCAGTAAATTTTCTGGAAAAGGATGAGAATCTCAGATTTTATCGGACATTTAACAGCAGCTGGAAATGGGTAAATTGGACTGATAAAAGGGAACCGCATAGAGCACCAACAGTGTACATGCAACATGGTTATGTAATTAGCGATCCGGGGCTGGACTCCAGGTATTCTTACTCAAACCATTATTTTTATTGTGTAATGCATGTAGTATATATGTGTGTGTTGGGCATATGCTAAAATTTTTATTCACTTTTATGTGCCAATAAAACTACATATGAGTGACAGACAAAATAGAAGTTTATGATTTCTTTTTTTTCTCTCTCTCTTCATGTAAAAAATGTATGCAAAATGCTTGACAAGGAATCTCAATAGAACCAGGCTTTTTTTTTTCTTTTTTCTTTTTTTTGATGGAGTTTCACAGTGTTGCCAGGCTGGAGTGCAGTGGCACGATCTCGGCTCACTACAACCTCCACCTCCCGGGTTCAAGTCTCAGCCTCCCAAGTAGCTGGGACTACAGGAACACACCACCATGCCCGGCTAATTTTTTGTATTTTTAGTAGAGACAGGGTTTCACCATGTTAGCCAGGATGGTCTTGATCTCCTCACCTCGTAATCTGCCTGCCTCAGCCTCCCAAAGTGCTGGGATTACAGGCCTGAGCCACCGTGCCCGGCAGAACCAGGCTTTCTTAGTGGATCAGGCTATCAGGAGTGTTCTTGATATGCAAGAAGAAGGAAAATAGCAAAGAACACAATGGTGTGTACCTTTTGAATCTAGACTTCAATTTAGAAAGCTACTATGTAAGTCCTTTCCAATAACTTTTTCAAATGATGTAAGAATTGTGTCCCATGATCACTCTAGCTGAAAGAATCCTGTGAAATATACATTTTTATATCTGTAGGTTGCCACATGCAACAAATGTTGAGAGTAGTCAATAATAAATAAATAATTGAATAATATAAACCGTTAATAATAACTTAAATGCTTATATGTATGTGTGTTTGCATAGGTCAAAGGAAGACATGCGTATAGGTGCAAATATATAAAACAACATAAAATTCAAAAAGGTACTAAAAAGCTTTTAATAGAAAGCAACATTTTCCAGTTCTGCCATGATTTTAAACCATGCACTTAAAATAAGATTGCTGCGTTTAATAACTATATTATATATTTTCTAAAAATATAATTAAAAAACGTACTTCTAAAAAATAATTTATTTCATAGGCATGCCTCCCAATTTCAGCACTTCTTTATATTTTTATTATTTATGCTTCTCCTAGATTATTTAAAAATTTTGTAGATAACAGGTTGATGAGTGCAGCAAACCACCATGCACCTGTATACCTGTATAACAAACCTGCACGTTCTGCACATGTATCCCTGAACTTAAAGTATAATTTAAAAAAATTCAGCTCTATGAAGATATAATTGATAAATAACACTGATTTAAGGACATTTGGTAAGGTTTGTCATATGCATATACCTTTAAAATCATCACCACAATAAAAATAATGAACATATCCATCACTCTCTAAAGTTTCTTTGTATCCCTTGTAATCCTTCCTTCCTGTCCCTCCTCAAACCTACATATATTCACAGGAACCACTAATCTGTTTTCTAGGATGATAGATTAGTTTTCATTATCTAGAATTTTAAATACATGGAATTAAGCAGTATGTACACTTTTTGGTTTCTGCTTTCTTTCAGCACAATTATTTAGAGATTCATACACTTTTGCATACATCAATAGTCAATTATTTTATGGCTTGAAAGTATTTTATTGTATAAATATACAATAATTTGGATTTCCTTAACCTACTGATGAACACTCGGGCTCTCAGCTTTAGCACATTGCATATAATAAATGTGCACATGATAAATGTGCAATTATTTGTGTGGACACATGCTTTCATATGTTTTGGACACATTTTATTACGATTATCAGTTTCTTTTTTATGCTACTTTAAATTGTATTATATTTTTATTTATATTTATTTATGAATTGTTATTTATTTTTAATTGATAATATATAGAAATAAAATTTATTTTTATTTTGCATATTTGTATATTAATATGTTACATATATTATATGTTAATATATTTATATATTGATATGTTTAAATATTAATGTATATTAATATATTCGTGTAACAACTGCAGTTTTGCTAAAGTTACTTTTTTGGTAGATTCCATAAAAATTTCTACTCAGATGATTACATCACCAGCACATGAGAACGGTTTTACTGTTCAAAGTGGATGCCATTTATTTCTTTTTCTTTGTCTTACTATATTAGCAAGAACCTCCAGGACAATGTTTAGGAATTGGTGAGAAGGGACATCCTTTCCTGGTTTCTGAACTCAGGGTGTATTAGTCTGTTCTAACACTGCTATAAGTACATACCCGAGACTGGGTCATTTTTAAAGGAAAGAGGTTACATTGACTAACAGTTCTGCAGGGCTGGGGAGTTCTCAGGAAACTTATGATCATGGCAGAAGGGGAAGCAAACATGTCCTTCATGTGGTGGCAGCAAGGAGAACTGCAGACTGAAGCGGGGAAAAGCTCCTTATAAAACCATCAGATCTCTTGAGAACTCACTTGCTATCACAAGAACAGCAGAAGGTAACTGCCCCCATGATTAAGTTACCTCCCATCCGGTCCCTCCCACCACATGTGTGGATTACAGGAACTAGAATTCAAGGTGAGATTTGGGTGGGGACACAGCCAAACCATATCACAGGGGGAAAGCCTTCAGTCTTGCACTATTAAGTATGGTGTTTTCATTAGATTTTCCATACATTCTCCTTGTATTCCTAGTTTTAAGAGAGTTTGTATTAGTAATGAATGATGGATTTTGTCAAATGGTTCTCTGTGTCTATGGAAATGAGCATAGGCATAAGGGAGATTTATTTCAAGGAATTGGCTTATGAGGTTGTGGGGAATGAACAGTATCTTTTCTATAAAACAAGCCAAAAACAGCCTGGGAACTCAATGGCAGGTGCTTGTGCTGCAGTCTTGAGGCAGAATTTATTTTTCCTCAGGGAAATTCAGGTTTGTCATTAAGCTTTTTATCTGATAAGATGAAGACCAAAAATGAGCTGCGCATGGTGGCACATGCCTGTAGTCCCAGCTACTCAGGAGGCTAATGCAGGGGAATCGCTTAAACCCGGGAGGCAGAGGTTGCAGTGAGCCGAGATCGCGCCACTGCACTGCAGCCTGACAATAAAGTGAGACTCTGACTCAAAAAAAAAAAAAAAAAAAAGAAAAAGAAAAAAAAAAAAGGAAAAAGATGAGGACCACCAAGATTACCGGAGATAAACTCCTTTATTTAAAGTGAACCAGTTGTAGACGTTAATGGCATATACAAAATATTTTCACAGCAATAAACGCATATTGGTTTACAGACATAACTTCGAGATATTGTGGGTTCAGTTTCAGACCACCACATTAACGTGAATATCACAATAAAGCAGGTGTCACAATTTTTTTGGTTTTTCAGTGCATATAAAAGTTATGATTACACTATACCTTAGTCTATTATGTGTGAAATAGCATCATGTCTACAAACATACATGCCTTAATTAAAATGCTTCATGCTAACAAATGTTAACTATCATCTTCAGTGAGTTGTAATCTTTTTCAGATGTATGGTCTTTCTTCAACTTTGATGGCTACTGACTGATTAGGATGGTAGTTGCTGAAGACTGGGGTGGCTGCGGCAATTTCTTAAAATAAGAAAGCAATGCAGTTTGTTGCATTATTTGACTCTTCCTTTCATGAAATATTTATGTGTAGCATGTGATGCCATTTGATGGCATTTTACCCACAATAGAACATCTTTCAAAATTGGATGGAGTCAATCCTTTCAAACCTTGCTACTTCCTTATTAACTAAGTTTATGTAATACACTAAATTATTTGTTGTCATTTCAACAATGTTCATAACATCTTCACTATGAGTGCATTCCAACTAGAGAAACCATTCCTTTTGTTCATCTATAAGAAGCACTTCCTCTTCCATTAAAATTTTATCATGAGATGACAGCAATTTATTCAGATCTTCAGGGTCCACTTCTAATTCTAGGTTTTTGGTATTTTCACAACATCTGCAGTTACTTCCTCCACTGAAGTCTTGACTCATTCAAGGTCATCCATGGGGTTTGGAATCCACTTCTTCCAAACTCCTGTTAACGTTGATGTTTTCACCTTTTTCCATAAATGATGAATGTTCTTAATAGCATCTAGAATGATGACTTCTTTCCACAAGATTTTCAATTTTCTTAGCACAGGTCCATCAGAGGAATCACTATTTATAGCAGCTATAGGTTTATGAAGTACATTTCTTAACTAATAACACTTGTAAGTCAAAATTGCTCCTTGATCCATGTGCTGCAGAATGGATGCTGTGTTATGTATGCAAACAACATTGATCTCTTTGTAGGGCTCTTGTGTAACTAGGTGCATTGTCAATGAGCAGTAATATTTTGAGGAAATCTTTTTTTCTGAGCAGTAAATCTCAAAAATGGGTATAAATCTTCAGTAAACCATGCTACAAATAGATGTGCTATTATCCAGGCTTTGTTGTTTCATTGATAGAGCACAGGCAGAGTAAATTTAATTATTAAGGGCCCTAGGATTAATGGAAAGATGAATGAGCATTGGCTTCCACTTATCACAAGCTGCTTTAGCCCCTAACAAGAAAGTCATCCTGTCCTTTAAAGCTTTGAAACCAGGCAATGACTTCTTTTGAGCTATCAAAGTCCCAGATGACATCTTATTCCAACAGAAGATTGCCTTATCTACAATACAAATCTGTTATTTAATGTAGACACCTTCATCATTTAGCTCAGCTAGATCTTCTGTATAACTAGCCGCAGCTTCTATATCAACACTTACTACTCCATCTGGTACTTTTATGTTATGGGGACAGCTTCTTTCCTTAAATCTCTAGAACTCACTACGACTATCTTTAAATTTTCCTCTGCAGCTTCCTCACCTCTCTCAGCCTTCACAGAATTGAAGAGAATAGAGCCTTGTTGTAGATTAGGCTTTGGCTTAAAAGAATGCTATGGCTTGCTTCATCCTCTATCCAGATCACTAATATTTTCTCCATATCATCTATAGGCCTCTTTGGTTTTATCATCATTCATAAAGTTCACTGGAGCAGCACTTTAACTTCCTTCCAAAATTTTTCCTTTGCATTTACAATGTAGTTAACTGATGCAGGAGATCTAGTTTTTGGCCTGTCTTTGTGTTTTGGCATGCTTTCCTCAGTAAACTTAATCATTTCTGACTTTCAGTTGAAAGCGAGAGACTTGCAACTCTTCCTTTCCATGGAACATTTAGAGACTATTTTATATTATTAAATGGCCTAATTTTAATATTGTTGTGTCGCAGGAAATAGGGAGGCCTAAGGAGAGGAAAAGAGATGAGGGAATGACCGGTCAGTGAAGCAGTGAGAACACACAGAACATTTATTCATTAGGTTAATCATTTTATATTGGTTTGGTTTGTGGTGGCCCAAACCAATTATAATAGTAACATGGAAGATGACTGATTGCAGATCACCATAACATATATAATAATCATTAGATATGTTGAAATATTGTAGGAAATTACCAAAATGTGACACCGAGCTGCAAAATGAACACATGCTATTGGGAAAATGCCACCAATAAACTTCCTTGCTGCAGCATTGTTACAAACCTTTAATATGAAAAAAATGCAATATATGTGAAGCACAATAAAGCGAAGGGCAATAAATAGAAGGATGCTTGTATGTGAAAAACTGAGGACTACAGTCTAGCCAAGTTGCCATATAAACCTGCCAGCCACATTTACCTAACAGATTTGAATATGGCACTCTTTCTTTTATGATTGATCCTACTCTGTAAATGATTGTCCTATTAGGTTAAGTTCGAGCTCCTTACCTTGGTTATTGAGATACTGACACTATTTCCTTCTATGCTCTGTATTTTCCTTTAGCTTATGCTTTATCTGTGCTCTTGCTCTAATCTCTTGAAATCCTCTCATCTCAAAGGATCAGACATCGATTTGTTCTTCCTTTTAATTGTGGTTACATGTACTTTGTTATCCATTTAGAACTTAAATTATATCCTTAAAATATCCTTTGAATATCTTTATACATGGTTTTATGCAATTGCAATCTCTCCACAGGCCAAGGCTTATGAATCCTGTGTCATCCAGATTCCATACAAAGTGAAGTTACACATAGTACATATTTCTAAAATAGTTTTTTAATTAAAATTACAGAACTTGACAGAATGCCATAATACTAGAATTTTGCTCTGGTAAATGAATAATTAAAATTGTAATGAACTATTTTTAAACATAATGGTTTCAAATAAAGGTTATTTTCTTCCTGATCTTTTCTTTCTTCATGGGACCTCACAGAAACACTTTATACAGTATTGCCAGGTTCCTCTTTCATTGAAATGAACCTAATCAAATGGATAAAATCTATTAGAATGGTTCAAGAAAAAAAAAATCACAATTTGCTTTGGCAAATAGAAATTTTAAAAGTAGGCCAGGTGCGGTGGCTTGCACCTGTAATCCCAGCACTTTGGGAGGCTGAGGCAGGCAGATCACGAGGTCAGGAGTTCGAGACCAGCCTCTACTAAAAATACAAAAATTACCTAGGCGTGGTGGCGTGTGCCTGTAGTCCCAGCTACTCGAGACACTGAGGCAGAAGAATTGCTGGAACCCAGGAGGCGAAGGTTGCAGTGAGCCAAGATCGTGCCACTGCACTCCAGCCTGGGCGACAGAGCCAGACTCCGTCTCAAAAAAAAAGAGAAGTAGTAATTGTTCTTTTCATAGGCAGCTTAAAACAATCATTTGAAATTAGTTCAATATTGTATTACATTGTATTACATATGTTATTACTTCTAATGGAACTATTTAAATGTAGAAACAATCATTCATTCACATAATGTGCCATTTGTCACAAGACGTGAATAATAATCAAGTGCTTCCTAACAAGTACATATGATCATCAACATTCATCAAGGTAAACACAGAGAGTCAGGAAAAAAAGAAAGAAAACAAAAAATAAACATACCATGAAAACAACCACCAAGCCTACAACTAAATTTATTTTCTAAAATACTGCTAAATACAAATATTAATAAATATTAGAAACAGATGGAAAGAGATACATTACATTAAGGGGAAAACTACATAGAGAAATGTCACAATTATGCCTGGTAAGACTTAAAAATATTATTTTTCTCGTATTGAAAATTTGAGCAAAATTTATTTGAGTAGTAAATATCAAATATTAATACTAGTAATACCTACTTATACTACTAATAATACCTACTATATACTTAATTAAAATATGCCTACACTAGCCATATGCAGAAGACTGACACTGACTGCTTTCTTACACCATATAAAAAAACAACTCAAGATGGTTATTGTTTACATATAAGACCTAAAACAATAAAATCTCTGAAGACAAGCTAGGAAATACCATTCTGGGTGCAGGCTCTGGCAAAAATTTCATGACAAAGACTCCAAAAGCAAATGCAACCGAAACAAAAATTGACAAGCGGGATCTAATTAAACTAAAGAGCTTCAGTACAGCAAAAGAAACTATCAACAGAGTAAACAGACAACCTACAGAATGGGAGAAAAGATTTGCAAACTGTATATCTGACAATGGTCTAATTCCACAATATATAAGGAATTTAAACAAATCAGCAAGAAAAAGCAAATAACCCCATTAAAAAAATAAGCAAAGGACATGAGCAGACATTTCACAAAAGACATTCATGAGGCCAACAAATGAAAAAATGCTCAATATTACTAATCACTAGAGAAATGTAAATCAAAAGCACAATGAGATACCATCTAGTACCGGTCAGAACGACTATTGTTAAAAGATTAAAAAAAAATGCTGGTGAGGCTGAGGCTGTGGAGAAAAGAAAATGTTTACAGATTGTTGGTGGGAATGTAAATTAGTAAATTAGTTCAGCCACTATGGAAAGTAGTTTAGAGATTTCTCAAATAACTTACAATAGGACTATGATCTATGATTCGACCCACAAATCCCACTATTGAGTTTACACCCAAACGAAAATAAACTCGCACCCATAGCACTTCATAGGAGTTCTACTCTCATAGCAAAGACATGGAATCAACCAAGATGCCCATTAATGGTGGACTGGATAAAGAAAATATGGTACATATACACCGTGGAATACTCTGCAACCATAAAAGAGAATGAAATTATGTCCTTGGCAGTAATATGGATGGAGCTGGAGGCCCATATTTTAGTGAATTAATGCAGAAACAGAAATCCAAATACTGCATGTTCTCACTTGTACGTGGAAGCTAAATACTGAATAAACATGGGAACAAAGACAGGAACAACAGGTACTTGGAACTGCTTGAGGGAGGAGAGAGGGAAGTGGTGTGTGGGTGGCAAGGTTACTTATCAGGTACTATAGTGACTCTCTTAGTTCCAGGATCACTTGTACACCAAGCCTCAGCAACATGCAACTTAACTATGTAACAAACCTGAACATGTACCCTCTGAACCTAAAATAAAAGTAGAAAAAAATATATACCTAGACTTTCTTGGGACATTAAATATTTTTCATGATTAAATGGAATATTCAGGAATATCTGTAGATACGTATCTTTTAGAATTCTATTCAGGACTTGATTTTGTTCTCTCTGGGAAAAGTGAAAACTAAACATAGAATACACACACACATACACAATGCATATGTATGGATAATACCTACATTGGTGAGGGCAGAATTTGTTTACTCAATCTACTGATTCAGTTGTCATTTTTTTTCCCAAAAACACCTTCAGAGACATACAAATAATGTTTTGTCAGCTACCTAGGCATCCCTTAACCCAGTCAAGTTGACACATAAATTTAACCATCACAATAGTCTTTGTTTCAAATGCATGCTCATTCCGACTTCCATTAGAGGTTACATAATTAGTTTATAGCAGAAGGCATGATTGGCTAACCTTAAAATATGGAATAATAAAAAAAGCAATGAAATTATTGTAAATTGAATTTGCTTTTGCTGTAACAAAATATTAATTAAAATTATAAATGAATTAGCTGAATTTTAAACTGTGTATAACCCCAAAATTTTACATTTCAAACAAATATTCAAACACAAAGTAGTCAAAATTCCAAACTCACTCAAAGTACTGAGAAAATGGCTCTTTTATTTTGTTAATTTCTAAACTTTTGTTGTGGTCCTTGTTTACATCATTTTAGTTTCAAAGAATTCACCTAAAATTGTACATCTATACATGTCTATGGTTCAAAGTTCAGTGTAGAAGGCTACTGTCAAAGTTGTGAAAAAAAAAATAATAATAAGAGAGTATGGTTACCTGCTTTTGAAGAAAATGCTCCTATACTTTTTGATGTTTTAAATTGTTTGGAAGACATTGAAATAGATATAGTGAGAAACTAACACTTTTTGTTTGCCATAAGATTATTAATTAGTTTTATTTTTTATTTGTTTGTGCTTTAGAATAAAACACAAGAATACCATAAATTTTGGAGAAATTAATCAAAATCCCTAAACTATACTAAGGGGTTTTAATCTATAACTTACCTTTTTTTATTCAAGTTGTTTGAATGAAACGTAATTTTCTCAACATCTATGTTTTCTTATTTATAATATAGAATTATTAATACGATTAATAATGCTTTCACAGCTATCAGAGTTGTAAAATTATATAAAAACATGCATGTATTTGGAAGTCTTGTGTAAATATATTTATATTAAACATTTTAAATTTAATTTCTAGCTTCTGTTAACTTTTAAGAGTTTACCTAAAAAGAAAAGTGTAACTAAGGCAGAGAGACAAATTGGAGTTGGTGATCTCTTCAGTACAACAGCAAAATAAAGTAGAAAAGGAGATAAATGGGACAGCACTGGATAGATGTAAGAATCATAAATAAACATACACAGAGTACAAAAAGAAAGATGTTAAAAAATAGAGAAGAGATAACTTTTGTAGGTGCAATGATTCTCATACTATATTTCTTTATTTCTCTAGATTACTGTAGAGAGAATTCTCTATGCCCTTGTGCCTCCATTTCTATTCAAACTCATTTTCGCTTACAGTCACTGCTTTCCCTGAGATTTCTCCAGCCACCTCTCTGTGAAAGGAGTATTGATTGAGTGATAAAGCAAATCCAGTTATATGGCTGTGGTGATCTCATTTCACAAAAGAGTCTGGAGAAATAAATGTGTCCTTAGAGTAAACTTAGGATCACTTAACAGTTTTGAAATCCTGAAATGCCAACCAAAAGAACGTTTCCAGGGGAAAGAAATGGATAAAAAGAGCATGAGTCAGAATAATGCCAAACGAGAGAAAAAGCAAAATGTTCAGCCCAGAAAGAGTACCTGGACAAAGAGAAAGAGTGACTAATGATGTATAAATTTCCTCCGAAATTTTTCCGTATTAGGAACTAGGCATGCAATAGGATTCAAGATATTTCTTAAAGGGACACCAGGTTACAGTTTATTCTTTCTTTCTTTTTTTGTTTTCTCGTCTTCTATCCTTTTTATCTTTGTTTTCTATTTAGATATTTCAGATAATTTATTTTGAAGATATACTCAGCTCTATTTGTAATGCCTTCAGCATGTGGATTTCATTAAAATATGATTATAGTATCAGGCTACCTTGAATAGAGATGGTTTAAGGGAAGAGTACAACATGAATTTATAGTAGAATGAAATAATTTAATCTGGGAGAAACTGCCAACAGTGTAAGGGACATTGGTAACAATTAAATGGCCCAATTTGGGAACTTAGGACCAAAGAGTAAAATCAATTATTGCAGAAGATTCTTAATGTTAGTAGAATGGGAGTGTCCAGATCAGCATACCTAGGAAAAGTCAGATTATGAGAGCAGTGATGGGATAAGTGTTGAAAATGGGAAAGCAGTGATCAACAGTTGATTAGCTTGGAATGTTAAGCAAACAAAAATATAAAACTAGAGCACACTAGCAGTAATGCAAGTGATGTACCAAAACGGTTGTCTATGTTTACAAGGTCAGATGAGAGCCAAATTTCCTAGCCCCCATAGTGTGAAAAAAGAGTTTAAGGGAATTTAATGTCTTTGTCTTTGTTTTTTTTTTCTTAAACAACTGACAAGGACCCCAAAACACCCCTATGATAATTACCATTCAATTCATTTTTTCAATTCCCTCCTTCATTTTCTTTATCTTTTTGCAGGAACCAGACAAATCTTATTTCTGTGTGTTGGACCTTTGTCTGTGCACCTAAAATTAAAATTGTTTCAGACTGTCTTAGCATGAACTGGTTTCCTATGAATAATATGTCTGCTTGAAGGGTCCACTTATCCAAAATATAACACTTTGTGGAATCAAACTTTTGACAATTTCACTTTGAGTGTTATCAAAATAAATGTAATGGTAATAAAAGTAACTACAACAGCACGCTTAATAACAATACTGTAGATGATGATATAAAAATCTTGAGTATTATACCATATCTAATTTGACAATGGTAGGGTACGTGGTTCAGAATAATTCTCCTGCTGAAAACTAGTAAAGCTAGACTATATATGTGTGTATATGCAACACATATGTACTCACATATAGAAAAAGGTGTGTCAACTTGCATGGCCTTAAGAATGAGTCCCCCCCTTATAACTTCAGGTTACATGCCTCACGTGCCTTACCCTCATGTTGACCCTGGTAAAACTTCAAAACACCAAAGACAAACTCATAAAATCATATAGAGGAACAGGACAGATTTCCATCAACTGGTTAAAAAATGAGTTTGTCAGCTTATTAATTGCCATTCAAAATTAGATCACAGACAATAGCAATATAAAATATTTAAAGTACTGAAATAAACTATCAACCTAACATTCTATACCTATTGACAATATCCTTCAAAAACGAACGAAACAAAATATCAACAAAACCAGATAACTTTTTATTTTTAGCCTCATATTACTATGAGGTTTTAAATGGTTTATTTTAAATGGTTTATTTAAATGGTTTACTTTAGGCAGAAGAAACATGAATTAATATGGAAATTTTGAGATGCAACATAAAATAAAGGGCAGCAGAAAGTATAAAATGTGCTACTTCTAAATGTGTACTACTGTCAAAACAGATTTGTGGAGTATAATGCACACTCACATAACACGACCCACATACACATAGGTGCACAGTAGATGTGTATAAACACAAAGATAGATAGATATAATAATAAACAATAGTACCATATGCAATGGGAGGATGGAAATTCGAATAGAAATTTTGTGGTGTCATTTAATTACCCAGTAAGTTGAAAAAACTATAGAGGCAAATTAAAATCTACAATTAACCTCATTAAGAAGCTTAAAATAATGTATAACTACAAAACTACATAGAAGTAAAAAGCAATTTAACAATCCAAATTAGAGTAAGGAAATAAAGTCATATGGTAAAGACGTGGTAAATAGAAAGCAAATGTTAAACAAATATATCAGTAATTATAATCTGTTCAATTAAGTAAATTTTATAATTAAATCAAAAATGTTTTCCAGAGGGAATATAAAGAAATAACTAACCCTTCGCAATTTATAAGAAACCAACTACTACAAGATAAGAAAAATGGAAAACAAATAGGATCGAACATATATAGTATGTGAGCACTAATGAAAGCTAGTTTAACTCTTGTAAGTGTGATGAAGAAGGCTTTAGAGAAAGATTTAACCAAGGGAAAAGCAAGGTTGCACCTTAATGATCAAAACTTAATTCTACCTAGAAATACAATATTTAATTTTGCATGTACATGCACTTAATATACATAAAACAAAATTTGAAAACTAAAATAAATATTCAAGCCCATAAAAAGTTAGTTTTTAACATACTTCTCTCAAAAATTTTTACAGCAAGCATATTATAATATTAAAAAGATGTAGGATTTTACAGCCTAATACAAAATTTGACATATATGAAATAATGCATCCTACAACTGAAAAGTACATTTTTTCAATGTACTCAGAATATTTAACTGTCAATTTGCTTGGCCACAGAGTAAGCCCCATTTAATTACAAATATTTTAAAATATGTGCTATGATCTCTCTATATATGGAATTAAAATAGAAGAAAAATAACAAAAAGTTAACCAAAAAATAAATCTCCAGCTAGACATGGTGGCTTACACCTGTAATCCCAGCACTTTAGGAGGCCGAAGCTGACAGATCTCCTGAGGTCAGGAGTTCAAGATCAACCTAGCCAATATGGTGAAAAGCCATCTCTACAAAAAATTTAAAAATTAGCCAGGCATTATAGCAGGTGCCCGTAATCCCAGCTACTCGGGAGGCTGAGGTGGGAGAATTGCTTGAATCTGGGAGGCAGAGGTTGTAGTGAGCCAAGATGACGCCACTGCACGCCAACCTGGGTGACAGAGCAAGACTCCGTCTCAAATGAAAAAATAAATAAATAAATAAATAAATAAACAAATCCCCATGTGTTTGGAAATTAAGCAAAACACATGAATAACTTATGCATGAAAAATTTAGTCACCACATAAACATAAAATAATTTGAACTGAATGCTACTGATATTATTTTATGAGGCCAATGTAAATTTGATTTAATAACCTGACAAAGTCATTTTAATTATTAAAGATAGATGAAATATCCCAAAGAAAATATTAGCAAATCTAATACAATGATACACAAAATTGTGAAAAAAATCTGGACCAAATTTATTTTAATCTAAAAATGCAAGTTTGACTTGCCACAGAACTGAATGTATTCACCCAGTTAATATTATTAAAAATAAGTCTATCATCATCTCAATGTAAGCAGACAATGTTGATAGTTAACATAAATTTGTGGTTTTTAAAAACTATTAGAACATTCAGAGACAAAAGGATATTTCTGTATTGAAAACAAAGTAGTTATCTATTAATAATCTACAGAAAACATTTTCATCAGCAATTCTTTTATTCTCTGAAATCAGGCAATTTTAAGAATGTTAGCAATCTATGAATTTTACCAGTATTAAACAATTTACATATGGTCTCAGTGTTTGTAATAAGAAAATAAAAAGAAATCAAATTTAGATAGATTGACCAAGAAATGTAACTATCTGTAACTATCATTATTCTCAGACAATTGTGAACACAGTGCCAAAATTATTTAAAATTTAATTATAAAAATTCAGTTAATCAATGACTTCAACAATATCACTGATTTTTTTCCCATAGGGGGAAACAAAGCATTGGAAAATAAAATTTTCAAAAATAATACTGCTTATTTCATTACTAAAGTACTGGGAAAAAATCTTTTCACATGGTAAAACCCTGTCTCTAGTAAAAATACAAAAAATTAGCAAGGGGTGGTGGCACATGCCTGTAATCCTAGCTACTTGGGAGGCTGAGGCAGGAGAATGGCCTGAACCTGGGAGGCAGAGCTGGCAGTGAGCCGAGATCGTGCCACTGTACTCCAGCCTGGGTGACAGAGGGAGACTCTGTCTCAAAAAAAAAAGACTTAAATGTAAAACTCAAAACTACAGAAACCCTGGAAGACAACCTAGACAATACCATTCTGAACATAGGAGTGGGCAAAGCTTTTTGGACAAAGACACCAAAAGCAATTTCAAAAAAAGCAAAAATTGACAAATAGGATCAAATAAAACTAAGCTTCTGTACAGCAAAAGTAACTATCAACAGAGTAAACATACAATGTACAGAATGAAATAAAATATTTGCAAACTATGCATCTGACAAAGGTCTAATATCCAGGATCTATAAGAAATTTAAACAAATTTACAAGAAAAAAACAACCCCATTAAAAAGTGGGCAAAGGACATGGACAGACACTTTTCAGAAGAAGATATACAAATGGCCAACAATCATATGAAAAATAGCTCAGTATCACTGCCCGTTAGATAACTCCAATCAAAACCACAATGAGATACTCTATCATATCAGCTAGAATGGCTATTATTAAATAGTCAAAAATTAGTATGCTGGTGAGGTTGCGGAGAAAAAGGAACATTAATACACTCTTGGTAGCAGTGTGAATTAGTTCAGCCATTGTGGAAAGCAGCGTGGCAATTCCTCAAAGAGCTAAAACATAACTATCATCTGACCCAGCAATCCCGTTACTGGTATATACCCAGAGGAATACAAGTCATTCTACCATAAGAACACATGCACACTAATCATCACTACAGTACTATTCACAATAACATTGACATGAAATCAACCTAAGTGTCCATCAATGACAAATTGGATAAAGAAAATGTGGTACATACACATCATGGAATACTATGCAGTCATAAAAAAGAATGAGATCATGTCTTTTGCGGGAACATGGATGGAGGTGAAGAGGCAAACTAACACAGGAACAGAAAACCAAATACTACATGTTCTCACTTTTTAGTGGGAGCTAAATAATAAGCACTCATGTAAACAAAAATGTTAACAACAGACACTGGGACCTACTTGAGAGTGGAGAGTAGAAGGAGGGAGAAGAGCCAGTAAAAATTGCTATTGGCTACTAGGCTTAGTAACTGGGTAATGAAATAATGTGTACAACAAACCTTCATAACTTGAGTTTGCCATTTACCTACATAACAAACTTGTACATGTACCCCTAAACCTAAGATAAAAGTTGAAAAAGAAATAAATAAAAATCAATATATGTCCCTGAGAATATTAACTTTCAGAATTCAGTGCATTATATTATAAAAAAATTGGTTGAATTTCTCTTCCCTAATAATTCATTAAGCAGGATATGTACAGATACACTTACTGAGTGAGTTATACTAAAGTTATTGGCAAATTGCTAGTCCATGGAAGTTCTGGAGTTAATAACACATGCCACTCCACTTATCCAATAGAAAGTATCACTGTGCTCTAGTTTACCTATTTCTACGTGTGACTAATAATACATACCTGTGTAGCATTTGCAGAAAACAGGATTAACTTGTACAACCCCATCTATAATTTGAATAGATTGCACTAAACAATCTTAATAATAACTTTTTTTTTAAATTATACTTTAAATTTTAGGGTACATGTGCACATTGTGCAGGTTAGTTACATATGTATACATGTGCCATGCTGGTGCGCTGCACCCACTAACTCGTCATCTAGCATTAGGTATATCTCCCAATACTATCCCTCCCCCCTCCCCCCACCCCACCACAGTTCCCAGAGTGTGATATTCCCCTTCCTGTGTCCATGTGATCTCATTGTTCAATTCCCAACTATGAGTGAGAATATGCGGTGTTTGGTTTTTTGTTCTTGCGATAGTTTACTGAGAATGATGATTTCCAATTTCATCCATGTCCCTACAAAGGACATGAACTCATCATTTTTTATGGCTGCACAGTATTCCATGGTGTATATGTGCCACATTTTCTTAATCCAGTCTATCATTGTTGGACATTTGGGTTGGTTCCAAGTCTTTGCTATTGTGAATAATGCCACAATAAACATACGTGTGCATGTGTCTTTATAGCAGCATGATTTATAGTCATTTGGGTATATACCCAGTAATGGGATGGCTGGGTCAAATGGTATTTCTAGTTCTAGATCCCTGAGGAATCGCCACACTGACTTCCACAATAGTTGAACTAGTTTACAGTCCCACCAACAGTGTAAAAGTGTTCCTATTTCTCCACATCCTCTCCAGCACCTGTTGTTTCCTGACTTTTTAATGGTCGCCATTCTAACTGGTGTGAGATGGTATCTCACTGTGGTTTTGATTTGCATTTCTCTGATGGCCAGTGATGGTGAGCATTTTTTCATGTGTTTTTTGGCTGCATAAATGTCTTCTTTTGAGAAGTGTCTGTTCATGTCCTTCACCCACTTTTCGATGGGGTTGTTTGTTTTTTTCTTGTAAATTTGTTGAAGTTCATTGTAGATTCTGGATATTAGCCCTTTGTCAGATGAGTAGGTTGCAAACATTTTCTCCCATTTTGTAGGTTGCCTGTTCACTCTGATGGTAGTTTCTTTTGCTGTGCAGAAGCTCTTTAGTTTAATTAGATCCCATTTGTCAATTTTGGCTTTTGTTGCCATTGCTTTTGGTGTTTTAGACATGAAGTCCTTGCCCATGCCTATGTCCTGAATGGTAATGCCTAGGTTTTCTTCTAGGGTTTTTATGGTTTTAGGTCTAACGTTTAAGTCTTTAATCCATCTTGAATTGATTTTTGTATACAGTGTAAGGAAGGGATCCAGTTTCAGCTTTCTACATATGGCTAGCCAGTTTTCCCAGCACCATTTATTAAATAGGGAATGCTTTCCTCATTGCTTGTTTTTCTCAGGTTTGTCAAAGATCAGATAGTTGTAGATATGCGGCGTTATTTCTGAGGGCTCTGTTCTGTTCCATTGATCTATAACTCTGTTTTGGTACCAGTACCATGCTGTTTTGCTTACTGTAGCCTTGTAGTATAGTTTGAAGTCAGGTAGTGTGATGCCTCCGGCTTTGTTCTTTTGGCTTAGGATTGACTTGGCGATGCAGGCTCTTTTTTGGTTGCATATGAACTTTAGTTTTTTCCAATTCTGTGAAGAAAGGCATTGGTAGCTTGATGGGGATGGCATTGAATCTGTAAATTACCTTGGGCAGTATGGCCATTTTCATGATATTGATTCTTCCTACCCATGAGCATGGAATATTATTCCATTTGTTTGTATCCTCTTTTATTTCCTTGAGCAGTGGTTTGTAGTTCTCCTTGAAGAGGTCCTTCACATCCCTTGTAAATTGGATTCCTAGGTATTTTACTCTCTTTGAAGCAGTTGTGAATGGGAGTTCACTCATGATTCGGCTCTCTGTTTGTCTATTGTTGGTGTATAAGAATGCTTGTGATTTTTGTACATTGATTTTGTATCCTGAGACTTTGCTGAAGTTGCTTATCAGCTTAAGGAGATTTTGGGCTGAGACAATGGGGTTTTCTAGATATACAATCATGTCATCTGCAAACAGGGACAATTTGACTTCCTCTTTTCCTAATTGAATACCCTTTATTTCCTTCTCCTGCCTAATTGCCCTGGCCAGAACTTTCAACACTATGTTGAATAGGAGTGGTGAGAGAGGGCATCCCTGTCTTGTGCCAGTTTTCAAAGGGAATGCTTCCAGTTTTTGCCCATTCAGTATGATATTGGCTGTGGGTTTGACATAGATAGCTCTTATGATTTTGAAATACATCCCATCAATACCTAATTTATTGAGAGTTTTTAGCATGAAGGGTTGTTGAATTTTGTCAAAGGCTTTTTCTGCATCTGTTGAGATAATCATGTGGTTTTTGTCTTTGGCTCTGTTTATATGCTGGATTACATTTATTGATTTGCGTATATTGAACCAGCCTGGCATCCCAGGGATGAAGCCCACTTGATCATGGTGGATAAGCTTTTTGATGTGCTGCTGGATTCGTTTTGCCAGTATTTTATTGAGGATTTTTGCATCAACGTTCATCAAGGATATTGGTCTAAAATTCTCTCTTTTGGTTGTGTCTCTGCCAGGCTTTGGTATCAGAATGATGCTGGCCTCATAAAATGAGTTAGGGAGGATTCCCTCTTTTTCTATTGATTGGAATAGTTTCAGAAGGAATGGTACCAGTTCCTCCTTGTACGTCTGGTAGAATTCAGCTGTGAATCCATCTGGTCCTGGACTCTTTTTGGTTGGTAAACTATTGATTATTGCCACAATTTCAGCTCCTGTTATTGGTCTAATTCAGAGATTCAACTTCTTCCTGGTTTAGTCTTGGGAGAGTGTATGTGTCGAGGAATTTATCCATTTCTTCTAGATTTTCTAGTTTATTTGCATAGAGGTGTTTGTAGTATTCTCTGATGGTAGTTTGTATTTCTGTGGGATCGGTGGTGATATCCCCTTTATCATTTTTTATTGTGTCTATTTGATTCTTCTCTCTTTTTTTCTTTATTAGTCTTGCTAGTGGTCTATCAATTTTGTTGATCCTTTCAAAAAATCAGCTCCTGGATTCATTGATTTTTAGAAGGGTTTTTTGTGTCTCTATTTCCTTCAGTTCTGCTCTGATTTTAGTTATTTCTTGCCTTCTGCTAGCTTTTGAATGTGTTTGCTCTTGCTTTTCTAGTTCTTTTAATTGTGATGTTAGGGTGTCAATTTTGGATCTTTCCTGCTTTCTCTTGTGGGCATCTAGTGCTATAAATTTCCCTCTACACACTGCTTTGAATGCATCCCAGAGATTCTGGTATGTTGTGTCTTTGTTCTCGTTGGTTTCAAAGAACATCTTTATTTCTGCCTTCATTTCGTTATGTACCCAGTAGTCATTCAGGAGCAGGTTGTTCAGTTTCCATGTAGTTGAGCGGCTTTGAGTGAGATTCTTAATCCTGAGTTCTAGTTTGATTGCACTGTGGTCTGAGAGATAGTTTGTTATAATTTCTGTTATTTTACATTTGCTGAGGAGAGCTTTACTTCCAACTATGTGGTCAATTTTGGAATAGGTGTGGTGTGGTGCTGAAAAAAATGTATATTCTGTTGATTTTGGGTGGAGAGTTCTGTAGATGTCTATTAGGTCTGCTTGGTGCAGAGCTGAGTTCAATTCCTGGGTATCCTTGTTGACTTTCTGTCTCGTTGATCTGTCTAATGTTGACAGTGGGTTGTTAAAGTCTCCCATTATTAATGTGTGGGAGTCTAAGTCTCTTTGTAGGTCACTCAGGACTTGCTTTATGAATCTGGGTGCTCCTGTATTGGGTGCATATATATTTAGGATAGTTAGCTCTTCTTGTTGAATTGATCCCTTTACCATTATGTAGTGGCCTTCTTTGTCTCTTTTGATCTTTGTTGGTTTAAAGTCCGTTTTATCAGAGACTAGGATTGCAACCCCTGCCTTTTTTTGTTTTCCATTTGCTTGGTAGATCTTCCTCCATCCTTTTATTTTGAGCCTATGTGTGTCTCTGCACGTGAGATGGGTTTCCTGAATACGGCACACTGATGGGTCTTGACCCTTTATCCAATTTGCCAGTCTGTGTCTTTTAATTGGAGCATTTAGTCCATTTACATTTAAAGTTAATATTGTTATGTGTGAATTTGATCCTGTCATTATGATGTTAGCTGGTGATTTTGCTCGTTAGTTGATGCAGTTTCTTCCTAGTCTCGATGGTCTTTACATTTTGGCATGATTTTGCAGCGGCTGGTACCAGTTGTTCCTTTCCATGTTTAGCGCTTCCTTCAGGACCTCTTTTAGGGCAGGCCTGGTGGTGACAAAATCTCTCAGTATTTGCTTGTCTGTGAAGTATTTTATTTCTCCTTCACTTATGAAGCTTAGTTTGGCTGGATATGAAATTCTGGGTTGAAAATTCTTTTCTTTAAGAATGTTGAATATTGGCCCCCACTCTCTTCTGGCTTGTAGGGTTTCTGCCGAGAGATCCGCTGTTAGTCTGATGGGCTTCCCTTTGAGGATAACCCGACCTTTCTCTCTGGCTGCCCTTAACATTTTTTCCTTCATTTCAACTCTGGTGAATCTGACAATTATGTGTCTTGGAGTTGCTCTTCTCGAGGAGTATCTTTGTGGCATTCTCTGTATTTCCTGAATCTGAACGTTGGCCTGCCTTGCTAGATTGGGGAAGTTCTGGATAATATCCTGTAGAGTGTTTTCCAACTTGGTTCCATTCTCTCCGTCACTTTCAGGTACACCAATCAGATGTAGATTTGGTCTTTTCACATAGTCCCATATTTCTTGGAGGCTTTTCTCATTTCTTTTTATTCTTTTTTCTCTAAACTTCCCTTCTCGCTTCATTTCATTCATTTCATCTTTCATTGCTGATACCCTTTCTTCCAGTTGATCACATCAGCTCCTGAGGCTTCTGCATTCTTCACGTAGTTCTCGAGCCTTAGTTTTCAGCTCCACCAGCTCCTTTAGGCACTTCTCTGTATTGGTTATTCTAGTTATACATTCTTCTAAATTTTTTTCAAAGTTTTCAACTTCTTTGCCTTTGGTTTGAATGTCCTCCCGTAGCTCAGAGTAATTTGATCGTCTGAAGCCTTCTTCTCTCAGCTGGTCAAAGTCGTTCTCCGTCCAGCTTTGTTCCATTGCTGGTGAGGAACTGCATTCCTTTGGAGGAGGAGAGGCGCTCTGCTTTTTAGAGTTTCCAGTTTTTCTGTTCTGTTTTTTCCCCATCTTTGTGGTTTTATCTACGTTTGGTCTTTGATGATGGTGATGTACAGATGGGTTTTCGGTGTGGATGTCCTTTCTGTTTGTTAGTTTTCCTTGTAACAGACAGGACCCTCAGCTGCAGGTCTGTTGGAATACCCTGCCGTGTTAGGTGTCAGTGTGCCCCTGCTGGGGGGTGCCTCCCAGTTAGGCTGCTCGGGGGTCAGGGGCCAGGGACCCACTTGAGGAGGCAGTCTGCCCGTTCTCAGATCTCCAGCTGCGTGCTGGGAGAACCACTGCTCTCTTCAAAGCTGTCAGACAGGGACATTTAAGTCTGCAGAGGTTACTGCTGTCTTTTTGTTTGTCTGTGCCCTGCCCCCAGAGGTGGAGCCTACAGAGGCAGGCAGGCCTCCTTGAGCTGTGGTGGGCTCCACCCAGTTCGAGCTTCCTGGCTGCTTTGTTTACCTAAGCAAGCCTGGGCAATGGCGGGCGCCCCTCCCCCAGCCTCGCTGCCACCTTGCAGTTTGATCTCAGACTGCTGTGCTAGCAATCAGCGAGATTCCGTGGGTGTAGGACCCTGTTAGCCAGGTGTGGGATATAATCTCGTGGTGTGCCATTTTTTAAGCCAGTCTGAAAAGCGCAATATTCGGGTGGGAGTGACCCTATTTTCCAGGTGCGTCCGTCACCCCTTTCTTTGACTCGGAAAGGGAACTCCCTGACCCCTTGCGCTTCCCAAGTGAGGCAATGCCTCGCCCTGCTTTGGCTCGTGCACGGTGCGCGCACCCACTGGCCTGTGCCCACTGTCTGGCACTCCCTAGTGAGATGAACCCGGTACCTCAGATGGAAATGCAGAAATCACCCGTCTCCTGCATCGCTCACGCTGGGAGCTGTAGACCGGAGCTGTTCCTATTCGGCCATCTTGGCTCCAGAATCCCTCCCTTAATAATAACTTTGAATGTGAACTTAATAAAATTACAGGCTTTCTAGCATCATCATCATGTGACTGCAGTTTCATCTAGCTGACACTAGGTGGAGGATATATTACATAAGTAACGTTTGACTTGAGGCCAATATTTTCAAGTGTTTTGGCTTTCAGAGAATCCCAAGACAGCCATTCTTCAAATATTTGATCATTTTTGATTTATATGAACTTAATTTAAGACCAAAGTCAGAAATAATTAACATAATTATAATTACTAAATTTGAACTGCAAGAATTATAAAAAAATAACTATAGGATGAACTCCCAACAGAACATATTCTGAGCACTTTAAATTATCTCTGTGATCTTGGCAAGATTTTTTGCATCTCTAGGACTCTCTTGGGTAAAGTTACATTAGTGTTTTTTAAACATATTTAGTAGGAGAATGCTTTTGAAGGAAAAATAATAATATACACACAAAAAAAGCTATTGATGTTTAGGATAAATTGGGTGTGGAGTATACTTGCTTCTCCCTTTCCTAATCTTCCATCTGATATCATTTCAGGCGCTGCTGTTAAAACCAAATTTTCACAAAACACTCTAAAAATCACTGACCCTTGCTTTTCCTTGAAGATTTCTGATGAAATATTGTTGCTTTTCCTAGGTAATTGCTGCCCAAACCTGCTAAATTAAGCATTATCTGGAGCTTTGTAAAAAAAAGATAATAACAATACTGATGCCTGGGTCTTACATCAGAGTACATAAACTGAATCTGTGCAAATGGACCCCAAATATTGTTACTTAAAATACATTATCCTCTAATTTGGAAGTATAGTATTATATACATGTAATATTATACATGTAGCTTTAACTCTTTAATGTCTTTAGAAATCTGAGTTGTTTATTAAGCTCTTGTATTAGTCCATTCTCACACTGCTATAAAGAACTACCTGAGACTGGATAATTTATAAAAATTAGACTTGGGAGGCCTCAGGATACTTACAATCATGGCAGAAGGTGAAAGGGAAACCAGGCACATCTTACATGGGAATAGGAGAGAGAGAGAGCAAAAAGGAAATGCTACTTTTAAACCATCAGATCTCATGACAACTCACTCACTATTAAGAGAATAACATGGGAGAAACTGCCCCCATGATCCAATCACCTCCCACCAGGTCTCACTCTCAACATGTGAGGATTACAAATCAAGATGAGATTTGGGTGGAAACATACAGCCAAATCATATAATTCTGCCCCTGGACCCTCCCAAATCTCATGTCCCTTTCACATTTCAAAACTCCTAGTGCCTTCCCAACAGTTCCCCAAAGTTTTAACTCATTTCATGATTAACTCAAAAGTCCAAATCCAAAGTCTCATCTGAGACAAGGCACGTCCCTTCCACCTATAAGCCTGTAAAATCAAAAACAAGTTAGTTACTTTGAAGGCAAAATAAGGGTACAAACGTTGGGTAAATGTTCTTGCTTCAAATGTAAGAAATTGGCCAAAACAAAAGGGCCATAGGCCCCATGCAAGTCTGAAACCCAACAGGGCATTCATTAAATCTTAAAGCTCCAAAAAAATTCTCTTTACTCTAAGTCTCACATCCAGTGGACACTAATGTGAGAGGTGGGCTCCCAATATCTTGGACAGCTCTGTCCCTGTGAGAAATAAGTCAAAGAAGATTATTTTTACTCTTCAGAGTACAACCTCCACAGTTCCTTTCATGGGCTGGCATTAGAGCCTGTGGCTTTTTTAGGCACACGGTGCTAGCTGTCAGTGAATCTACCATTCTGGGGTCTGAAGGATGGTGACCGTCTTCTCAGAGCTTCACTGGGCAGTGCCCCAGTGGGGGCTCCAACCCCACATTTCCCGTCTGCATTACCCTAGGAGAGGTTCTTTTCTCCATGAGGGCTCCATGCCTGCAGCGGGCTTCTGTCTGGACACCCAGGCATTTCATACATCCTCTGAAATCTAGGCAGACTCTCCGAAAAATCAACTTTTGTCTTCTGCACACCCACAGGGCTAACAGCACACGGAAGCCACCAAGGCTTGCACTCACTGAAGCAACAACCTGAGCTGTATCTTGGCCCCTTTTGGCCACAACTAGAGTTGGAGGAGTGGGATGCAGCGTGCCTTGTCCCAAGACTGCACAGAGCAACCAGAGCCTGGCCCATGAAACCATTTTTTTTCCTCCTAGACCTCCGGGCCTATGATGGGGGAAGCTTTCATGAAGATCTCTGGAAAGCTCAGAAGACATTTTCCTCATTGTCTTGGCTATTACCATTTTCTTCTTGTTATTTATGGAAATTTCTGCAGCCTTGATTTCCTCCCCAGAAAATGTTTATTCTTTTCTACCACGTGGTCAAGCTGCAAATTTTCCAAACCTTTATGCTCTAATTCCCTTTTAAGCGTAAGTTCCAATTTCAAACAATCTCTTTGTGAACACATGTGACTGTATGCTTTCAGAAAAAGCCAGGTCACATTCTGAAAGCTTTGCTGCTTTTAAATTTTTTATGTGAGGTATGCTAAATCATATCTCTTAAGTTCAAAGTTCCCCAGATCTCTAGGGAAGGGGAAAAATGCTGCCAGTCTCTTTGCTGAGGCATGGTAAGAGTCACCTGTACTCCAGTTCCCTACAAGTTCTTTATCTTCATCTGAGACCACCTCAGCCTGGACTTTATTGTCCATATCACTATCAGTATTTTGGTCAAAGCCATTCAAGTAGTCTCTAGGAAGTTCCAAACTTTCCTTCATCTTTCTGTCTTTTTCTGAGCCCTCCAAACTGTTCCAACCTGTGCTGGTTACCCAGTTCCAAAGTCACTTTCACATTCTCAGGTATTTTTATTGCAATGCCCTACTACCTCAGTACCAATTCCATGTATTAGTCCATTTTCAGACTGCTATGAGGAACTACCTGAGACTGGGTATTTTATAAAGAAAAGAGGTTTAATTAACTCACAGTTCCACATGACTGAGGAGGCCTCAGAAAACTTGCAATCATGGCAAAAGGTAAAGGGGAAGCAAGGCACATCTAATATGGCAGTAGGAGAGGGAGAGCAAAGAAGAGAGTGCCACTTTTAAACCATCAGATCTCATGAGAACTCACTCACTATCAGGAGAACATCATGGGGGAAAGTGCCTCCATGATCCAATCACCTCCCACCAGGTCCCTTTCTCAATACATGGGGATTATAATTTGAAATGAGATTTTGGTGGGGACACAGAGCCAAACTATATCACCTCCATAAATGGCTTGAATAATGATTACATTGGCAAATGTACATGTAAGAATATACAGGTAAGATTATATCTCTAATTATATTATTATTATTTTCTTTGACACAGCATCTTGCTCTTTTACCCAGGCTGGAGTGTGGTGTGGTGGCACAATCAAAGCTCCCTGCAGACTTGAACACTTGGGCTCAGGAGATCTTCCCCCCTTAAGCCTCCCAAGTAGCTAGGAATACAGGTGTGCCATCAAGTCTAGCTAATTTTTTAATTTTTATAGAGATGGGGTCTTGCCATGTTGCCCAGGCTGGTCTAGAACTCCTAGCCTCAAGCAATCCTCTTGCAACAACCACCCAAAGCACTAAGATTACAGGGATGAACCACCACAACTGGCTTCCATTTATACAATTTATGCCCAAATGTGAACTGCTGAGAGACTTAGCTAAACACGTAACTATCCATGATCAAGTAAGCCTTGTCATAATAGGAATAGAAAGAATAGGCTAAACCCAAGCCTTTTTAAAGAGACAAAATGACAACAATTCTTCCTTTCTACTCCATTTACATTTGTATGCCTCATATATGTTATTTCATATTGCTATATTTTCCTGTACCCTATTATTTTCTGGAAAAAATTTAAATCAAATTTTAAATTTAATAATCTTAATCACTGGTTTTGCTTTTTGTTTAGGTGATCAGATAATTTTAAGACAAAATTATAAGAATATATACATTATATTTGGAAAGTTATTGCTTTCATCACAAAATATTGAGCAAATTTCTTCATATTGGATCATGTTTTTCTCTTCATTTTAATATTTCAAGTAAAATGGTTCCTTCAAAAATAATAAAATTGACCCTAAATATATTGAAATTATTACAGATTTAACTATGACAGAATAATATAATCAAATGTCAAAATGGTAAGTAATACTAGTCACAGTGACATGTGAACATATAAATAGAATGTATTAATCTTTATTAAGATAACTTTAATGTATGAACCATCTTTTAGAAGAAATACAAACTTGCCTTTTAAAAATAGTCACTTTTGAGATTTTTAAAGCACATATCTCTTAAATTACATTGGATAAATTTGTTATACCAGTTTTTTAAAATTCAAATATGTATTAAATAGGCACAAAGAAGATTGAAATATTTGGAAATTATAAGCGGTAGAAAGTTGATAAAATCCATTGATATGGTTTGGCTATGTCCCAGCCAAATCTAAACTTGTTTGTGTCTCTCAGAATTCCCTAGTGTTGTTGGAGGGACACAGGGGGAGGTAATTGAATCATGGGACCCGTCTTTCCCACGCTATTCTCCTGAGAGTGAACAAGTCTCATGAGATTTGATGGGTTTATCAGGGGTTTCCACTTTTGCTTCTTCTTCATTTTATTCTCTTGCCACCACCATGAAAGAAGTGCCTTTTGCCTCCCACCATGATTCTGAGGCCTCCCCAGCCATGTGGAACTGTAAGTCCAATTAAACCTCCTTTTCTTCCCAGTCTTGGGTATGTCTTTATCAGCAGCGTGAAAATGGACTAATTTTACGTTGCTTGAAGTCAAAACTAAACTATGGAATCTGTTCTTCGTTACAGATGAGTACAAGCTCCTCCATCCTCATTACAAACTCCCTTGTATCAAACAATATGAGAAGAACGGCCCACCATCCTGTCCCCTTAGACAAATTAAAGTTATTTGGCTCTGCATCACTTTTGAAAGAAACCCCTGTAAAGAAATTATACCATAGAATTTCTGCCAAATTCATGAATCTTTTTTATTATCTTTGGCTTTTATATACTTTGATGATTTAAAAAGATTGAATCAACCACTAATTTAGGGAAAAGGTAAATATAATACAAAGACATTTCCCCTGGAAACATTTAAGTGTGAGTTGCCACCATAAAGACCCATTACCCAACTTTAGTTTGTATTTTCCACAAATAAAATTCCTATGCTGCATGACCACAATACAACCAGTAATATCAGAAAACCAACATTAAGGCCAGGCATAGTGGCTCATGCCTGTAATCCCAGCGTTTTGTGAGGCCAAGGCAGGTGGATCACCTAAGGTCCAGAGTTTGAGACCAGACTGGTTAACATGGTGACACTTCATCTCTACTAAAAATACAGAAATTACCCAGGTGTGATGGCTTACACATATAATCCCAGCTACTCAGAGGCAGGAGAATCATTTGAACCTGGAAGGCAGAGGTTGCAATGAGCCAAGATCGTACCAGCCTAGGCGACATTGCACTCCAGCCTGGGAGAGAGTGAGACTCTGTCTCCAAAAAAAAAAAAAAAAGAAGAAGAAAGAAAGAAAAAAGAAAACCAACATTAATACATTACTACCATCGACTCCCTAGACCCTATTTAAGTTTCACTGGCTATCTCAATAACGTCCTTCCTAGCAACAGGATTCACTTTACAGTGAAACATTCCATACAGTTGACATATCTGTTTATGCTCTTCCAGTACAGAACATTTTCTACCTTTTGTTTGGACATATGTGACCTTCACACTTTGATGATTATAAGTCTGTTACTTTATAGTATATCCCTCAATTTGTATTTGTCTGCTCCTTTCTCACGGTTAGACTCAAGGTGTGCACGTTTAGTGAAAATATCACAAAGAGATGCTGTGCTCTCTTTACAAGCTCTCAGGTGATGCATGTTTTTGATTTGTCCTGATGATATTCACACTGATCACTTGATTAAGGTAAAGCATGCTTGGCTCCTCTACTATAAAGAAAGAAACACTCTACAAATTTACCATTCTTAGGTATTTTAGGGGAGTTTATTTTGAAACTATGTTTCTAATTAAGCTTTCAATATATGCATTTACGTATTTATAACAATATGGGCTCATGTTTTTCTCTTTGATTCAATGAGTAGTAATCCATTTTGCCATTAATTATTTAAATTCTCAAACTGACAACAATTTAATCTTTCAGGATGACCTTATTATCCTTTCAACATTGTCTTAATTTTTAACAATATATATTCCAGGATCATCTTGTAATTTTTCTGCACCAGCTCCAGAATCAGGCCTCATTCTTTTCAATGGAGCATGTTATTGAGAACCAAGATCTGGGGGTTCAGTGTCCTCATTGCGATTAGGGTATCACTTGTACCAGTTGCTTGGCCTCTCCCTCTGTCTGTTTCTCTGTCTCTCTCTCTCCATATATGCATACATACATTTATATTGATTTTTTTTAGATTCCATGATTTCATTACTGATACATCCAGTTTAATCATCAGGCTTCATACTTGTTTATTTCCATTCCATATTTTTAATCCATTCTCTGGCTTTGAGAAATTTGGCACCTGGTTTTGTTTTAGTTTTTCAACTTGTTTTCTTATTTTATCAATTCTCTGTTTGACCAATGTCATATCTCTTCCACCTTCTTCCTGACACAGATTCCTCTTCACCATGCTTGTGCTCTGACATCCTGTGCCAAAACGGCATTTAAAATCCTTAATTACATGAGAAAGGAAGAGAAAAAAACAACAGATCAAAAAACAAACAAATGCTTAAAATCTTGCATCATTGTAACACTTCAAAATTTACTCCAGTATTTTTTCTCAAAAAAAGTTAATGTATATTATGTGACAAAGATAGAGCAAATGTTTTCTAAACTGATGATAGCTCTGAGAGCTTTACCCTAAGTCACATTTGTTTGTGTGAGAGATTTGAAGATCTATCATCTAGTTGTCAATCCCTAGCATATTATGACACTCAACTTGTCATCTCTTATTCTGTGTGATTCATTCATTCACTCATGCATTCAACAAATGTTCACTGAGCACGTATTTGAAACTGAAGATGCCAGGGTTGTACAGTTAGTCCTAATCCCTTCACTCTTGCACCTTATCTTAGAATGGTGAAAATAAAAATAGAGAGAAATAAACAAATGATAATATTGTGATGGGTTGTGCTATGCATTATGTGGGAAGCAATTTTCTGAGAAACAGAATACCTAGGGAGACCACATTTGGATTTAGTTGTACAAAGACAATTTCTTTAATACAGTGATACACAAAATTATAGTAAATTGGAAATATAGGTAGAAATAGAAGAGGCTTTATTTTGTCCACTATTGTGTATATGAAAAACCACTGAGGTATTTCAAATAGGAAAACAACATTATCAGATTTATATTTTATAAATAAAGATCTGTAGTTCTATGGGGTACACATTACAGGACATTTTAGCTTAGGCCAAGGGTCACCAGTGATGGTCTGTAGCTTAAATCTGACACACTGACTGTTTGTGTAAATAATATTATATTGGAATGTAGCCATCTCAGCCTGTTTTCTGCTGCTATAAAAGAACACTACAGACTAGGCAACTTATAAAGAACAGAAGTTTATTTGGCCAATGCTTTTGAGGGCTGGGAAGTCCAAGAGTTTCTTATCATTTGGTGTTGGCAATTGGAAAGGGTCATCCCATAGTGGAAGGGCAGAAAATGGATGGGTGAGAGAGAATGAGAGAGGGCAACAGTACGTGAGACAGAGAGGAAAAGACGATGGAACTCCCAAGATAACAGAGCCAGTTTTGAAAAAATGGCATTTGTTTATTTAGGAAGATGAGGTCCTTAGGAGCTAATAGCTTCCAATAAGCTCCATCTCTTAAAACTGCCACAATGGCAATGAAATTCCAAATTAAGAACATTTGGGGGGCACATTCAAACTAAAGAAGTAGCCATCCTCACTTTTGTATATATTGTATATGACTGCTTTTTTCACTCTAATGGCAGAATTAAATAGTTGCCACAAATACGCAGTGATCCATGAAGCCTAAATATATATTGTATGTATCTTTCTAGAAAATGTTTCTTGACTCTTGATTTAGGCAAAAAATAATAGTAACTGGTTACCAAGGTTTTGGTAATATATATGGCAACACTGGGACAGATTTGAGTTCTAAGTTGGTAAGGATGAAAATAGAAGATAATTCCTAGTTTTGCAGATTTACGTGTTGATAAATTGTGGTCTTTTTTACTGTGAAGGTGCCATGATTTTTATATTTCACATTTCAATTTTTCTTTTCCTTATACTTTCCATCTCTATTCTGAAATTTCTCATGTGTTTATGTGTGTTGCCTTCCTAGCAGCTTTAACATATTAATCCCAGTTGTTTTCCTTAGCCATTATCATGATTAATTTTTTCCCACTATTCAGAAGTTGAGCAGGTTTGGGATTTTGTCTTTGTCTTCCTTGCATCATTACCTTCAAATATCTTCAGTGTCACCATGTGCTTAATGTGGGCTGTGGTTTTCTAAAGGATTTTCTTGCACTATGCTTAGCTTTAGGTCTTCATCATGTGCTTGTACCTAGAGAGGACATCATTCTATCCTCTTTTTTCCCTCCCACAGCTATAGATTGCTATTGTTTGTTAATTGGTGCTGGCTAACCTGGTGGGGGTTGAAGAAGGTGAATTTTCTCTGGGGTCCAGTTTTAGTCTCAGTCTTAGGCAGATCCTGTGTTACTAAGTCTCAGATGTGGGGTTTCATCAGGGTTTCTGCCACTTTCATATCACTAAGAGCCTTCTGATTCTCTTGGCAGATATGTAATTTTTCCCTTTCCCAGGGGTAGAGGACTTTTTTCTTTTCCTTTTTCTCCAGCTATAGTAAATCTTCTCCTGTTCTCTCAGAATAACAAGATGGTTGCTCCTGTCCAAGCAGTTTAAAGCTTTTGCTCCTTGGAGGAAACATGATGTAAACAAGACTTTCTCCTTTCTGCGGTAGCAGCTGCTCCCCTTCTCCGGTACAGCTCTGTGGAACCAACTTTCTCCAGTCTCCCAACCTGCCCCCAACCTCATTCTTTCTCATGAGCCCCTAGTGGAGGTCATTGGAGCAGAGCCTGAGAGTAGACGTGAACCCTCCTATGTCTGTGGCAATGAGATATTGCATGCTCTCACACTAACCAGTATTGGTACGGCCTTACAGTTCAACCACTTATTTTAATCATTATTGTATAATCAAGGCCTCAAATGGTGGGCCTATTGAAAGCAGGAGGCATATAGTAACTATTTTTAGAACAGGAGGCATGTAGTAACTATTTTTTTAAATTAACCCATATTTTACTGATATTAATTCATTATATACTTATGTAATGTGTTTCAATAATTTTCCTATGAGAATTCTAGTTTTTATTATCGCCAAATATGGTGCATGTGATTTTGTGTGTGTGTTTATTCTGTGTTTACAGTTAAATTTATTTCTGCAGAATAATTTTCCAAAAATAATATTACTTGCTTGAGCATATAATAAGCACATTTAATTTTATTTAAAAATATCCTCCTGGATAATGTTTCTAAACACTATAGCATCTTACAGTTCCACCAGTAATGTATGAGGACTCCCATGTGCCCTGCTTTAACAGGCACTGGATATAATTACATTGCTTGATTTTCCAAACTATTCATTGATATTGTAATATTTTTGATAATCTTTTCCCTAATTATATAAAGACTTTGTATGTGTCAGTTAGATATTTGCATCATTTTCTGTGGAATTTGTGTTTTTAATTTTGACCCATTTTACATAGGATTATTTAATTTTTCTATCATCATTAAAGGCTATTTTAAAATATTGGTATCTAATATTCTCCATTAGATGCTGTCTATATCTACTTTTGACCTTTAGTCTTTGGGCAAAATCTTATATAATTATAAATCTAATACCAATGTATAATGGGAGATGATGAATATATAAGGAGACCTATTATTAGTCTTTTAAAAACATTAATTGGACTTAACATAGTTGTAATATAGCTGGAATATCCTTATTACACTCTTCTTTAAACTTTGGTATGTGTCCATATAGCACTTTTCATACCAAAGTTTCTACCTGTTTTCAGTGGCCTTTTCAGATAGAGATCAAAAGAAGACTATGCAATATAGATCCCTAACACAGAGAAAAGATCTGAAGCAGGAAATCAAAGAAGTTCCCCTGAGATTTCATTTTCTCATTTATTCTCACTGTGGGGAAGAATAAAAATGTTAAATTTCAAATTCTAAGAAAAAGATTAACCAAAAATTGCACCGTAATAAATTCAGTGCTCAGATTTTAATCTACCAACAAATTGATGATTTAGTATTTTCATAATTTTTCTATCACCTAGATTACAATGACATTATCTGCCTTTTTTCATATATATATATTACAAATATGTATGTGTGTGCTTGAGTTATTTGAAATACTGTACTGCAGATCAATATCTTATGCAAATTCTTTCATTTAATCCTGATAGTAATTTTGAGATGCGAATAATCTTTTTTCACATTTTACAACCCAGAAAAATACCACAAAAGGCTGTGTCACTTTCAAGATTACACAAAGACTGGAATAAGGGAGGTGAGACTAAAAGTCCATTCTTATATGTTTGAGGGAATTTCTCTTTCCAAACATAATTGATCATATTGAGATGGCCACTTCATGTATCAATCACAGAGATACTGTTGTTTTCTTTTAAGATATACTTGCATTTTACTTCCTGTCTACACTACTATACAGTTATTCTGATGCAAAGATGGTCATCTTCCTACCCTGCTACCGGGTAAATTCTTCTGTCTTGCTCCTTATTGTATTCCAATACCTGGCATAGAGCCTGGATTCAAATTGAGGAGTTCTGTAATAAATGTATTCGAACAAATGCTATTAATGAACGTTGAATGGTACTAGCATGAATAAAAATAACAAAAGCCTTCTCTTTAGTGGCTAGAAATTGTTCCAACATTTTTAAAATAAAATTTATTACATATATACTTAATTGTGTTTTTAAAATACTACAAAAATAAAGTTACCTACGATTTTATCTTAATTTTGTTAGTGGATTAAATACCAGGACACCTATGAGAAAATCAACATATGTTATCATTGCAGAATATCTCATATATTGTTTATTTAAAGTATACATAAAATTTGTGTGCCTTCAAGCCTATAGTGAATTAAATAAATAAATATTATATATAATGTACAGCTTATGTAAAATAAATTAAAAACATTAAAATTTTAAATGCATGTGACTAATTCGTTATCTGTATCAGTATAACCCATTCACTAGTATAAATTATCCAGCTTGTTAAACATTTTATTTAACTAAATTTTAGTTCACTTACTCTTCCTTTTAATGGAAAAATAAAAAATTTCAATTTTTACATTAAATAATCCAAGTATATTATAAAATATGAACTCAATTATTAAAAATAATTTGATGGTTTCTATAAGTTTTGTACATGTATTGTATAAGATTTATGTCTATATGTATAAATATACTCTAATTAAATCATTAGAGTATGTTAATAAATCAAGTTGTGACACACATTTTTTTCTATTTACCCATTATGAGATTACTATGTAATATTTGGATTCAGTAAAATCATAAGTGACAATCTATTCTGCACTTATTCTAAATCTGCTAAGATTTATTAAAAACATTTGTTCTAGTTATTTAGAAGTAAAAACATTTTTGTTTATTTTTCTTGAGTAAATATAGTTTCTTAAAACTAAAATAACTGCCTAAAAATGCTTGATTTTAGGACATACAAATTTTTTTTTAATAATATGTCTTTTCTCTGGGAACTTGAAGGCCATGTTTGTAAATAAAAAAGAAATAATCAACATATCTTGACTTAAATTATGATTGATAAATCTTAAAGGAAAGATAAATCCAAAAATTATGATGAAATAAATAATGAAGAATATTTAAAAACTACAAAGATGTATTGAAAATTATAAAAAATTTAAAAGTAGACATGGATTATGTTGAACTGGGTATATATGTTTGTAGACAGATAAGGTTATAGTTTTGGAGAAGGTAGAAATATATATTCATCTGGAGGAGAAGTATATTTTATTAAAAAACACAACACTGTTTTGATATGTATGGTACGAGGGCAAAACTAGGTTGTACATTATACACTTTTTAAAAAGACCATATTAACTAATAAATAGAAAATAGACACTATCTTAAATTGCATTCATTAGCCTTTTTAAAGTATCATGAATGGGGACAGATATGCTCACAAGAAAATCTCTTAAAAGAGGTGAGTACATTCTCTAATCAGTCCTTTGCTCCTAATTATAACATAAGGGAGGATGTCCATTTCAGTTAAATAACAGAAGCATCATTAAGGGAATAAGTGGAATGTTCATAAACCAGGTCATTATTATTGTTTAATATTCATTATTTATTTAGGTAATTATGGGTCATCTAGGGCTAACTTATTATCTTCCTTTTACAGGTGTGTCTCTATACTCTATATTAGGAAAATAATAAGAAAATTTAGAGCTTTAAAAAGTTCTCTAGATGGCTACATTCAGAACCTTCAAAAACTGCACTAAAATTTTATTTTTTCATTCTAAAAATTATTCTATCACTGACTCTACAAATATCTATTCAAATTCCTCTTAATATATATGCTGTAATCCAGCCACTAGCACAGTTTTGAAGAAACATGATGTCCTGTTCTTAACTAGATTGGGTGCTGATGTCAGAGTAGAAAATATACAATTTAAATACACATTAATTCCATAATTTCACATAGTGATAAAAATAGAAAAAATAAAACTAGACAATTGTTTCTGGGAGCCAGAGGTCAAATCTGTTTGGGTGGGTAGAATTGGACTCAGACAAAGTAAATGAAAAGGACAAGGCCCTAAGCCAGAAATAAATTTAGAGTAACAATCAGAATTTTAGCATGGATTAAACATAATGAGGAAAGGATGGCTGGCTATTGACATAAACAGAAGTAGGAAATATACCCTATCTTCTTGAGAGTGGTAATCTAAAATATTTAAGGGCTGGAAGAACAAATATGCTTCTGTGGGTTGTCATGAAGTATCACTATAACTTAAAGCATATTTTCCTCTGATATGGCTTGAATGTATCCCCACCCAAATCTCATTTTGAATTGCCACGTGTTGTGGAAGGAACCTGGTGGGAGGCAATTGAAATGTAGGAGCAAGTTTTTCTCGTGCTGTTCCAGTGATAATGATTAAGTCTCACAAGATCTCATGGTTTTAAAAATAGGAGTTTTCCTGCACAAGTTCTCTCTCTCTTTGCCTGTCTCCACCCATGTAAGACATGATTTTCTTGTCCTTGCCTTCCCCAATGATTGTGAGGCTTCCACAGACATGTGGAACTGTAAGTCCATTAAACCTCTTTTTCTTCCCAGTCTCAGGTATGTTTTATCAGCAGTAGGAAAACAGGCTAATACAGTAAATTGCTACCAGTAGAGTGGGGTGTTGTTGAGAAGATACCCAAAAATATGGAAGTGGCTTTGGAACTGGGTAACAGGTGGAGGTTGGAACAGTTTGGAGGGCTCAGAAGAAGACAGGAAAATGTGAGAAAGTTTGGAACTTCCTAGAGACTTGTTGAATGGCTTTGCCCCAAATGCTGATAATAATATGGACAACAAAATCCAGGCTGAGGTGGTCTCAGATGGAGATGAGGAACTTGTTGGGATTTGGAGCAAAAGTGACTCTTGTTATGTTGTAGCAAAGAGACTGGTGGCATTTGGGTCTGCCCTAGAGATCTGTGGAACTTTGAACTTGAGAGAGATGATTTAGGGTATCTCACAGAAGAAACTTCCAAGCAACAAAGCATTAAAGAGGTGATTTGGTTGCTGTTAAAGGCTTTCAGTTTTATTAGAGAATCAGAGCATAAAAGTGTGAACAATTTGTAGCCTGACAATGCAATAGAAGAGAAAATTCCATTTTCTGAGGAGAAATTCAAGCCAGCCACAGAAATTTGCATAAGTAACGAGGAGCTGAATGTTAATCCCCAAGACAATGGAGAAAATGTCTCCAAGGTCTGTCAGAGGTCTTCATGGGAGATGCTCCCATCACAGGCCTGGAGGCCTAGGGGGAATAAATGGATTTGTGGGCTGGGTCCAGGGTCCCCATGCTATGTGCACCTTAGGGATTTTGTGCCCTGCATTACAACCATTCCAGCCATGACTAAAAGGGGCCAAGTTACAGCTTGGGCCATGGATTCAAATGGTGCATGCCCCAAGCCTTGGCAGCTTTCACAAGGTGTTCAGCCTGCAGGTGCACAGAAGTCAAGAACTGAGGTTTGGGAACCTCTGCCTAGATTTCAGAGGATGTTTGGAAATGACTGGATGTCCAGGCAGAAGTTTTCTGCAGGGGCAGGGCCCTCATGGAGAACCTCTGCTAGGTCAGGGAGGAAGGGAAATGAGGGGTCAGAGCCCCCACACAGAGTCCCTACTGGGGCACTACCTAGTGGAGCTGTGAGAAGAGGGACCCCATCCTCCAGACCCCAGAATTGTAGATCCACTGACAGCTTGCACTGTGCACATGGAAAAGCTGCACACACTCAATACCACTGCATGAAAGCAGCCAGGAGGGAAGCTATACCCTGCAAAGCCAAACAGGCAGAGCTTCCCAAGGCTGTAGGAGCCCAACTTTTGTATCAGTATGACCTGGATGTGAGATATGGAATTAAAGGAGATCATTTTGCAACTTTAAGATTTGACAGCCCAGCTGGATTTCGGACTTGCATGGGGACTACAGTCCCTTTGTTTTGGCCAATTTCTCCCACTTGGAATGGCTGTATTTACCCAACCTCTGCACCCTCATTATGTCTAGGAAGTAACTAACTTGCCTTTGATTTCACAGGCTTATAGGTTGAAGGTCCTTGCCTTGTCTCAGATGAGACTTTGGACTATGGACTTTTGAGTTAATGCTGAAATGAGTTAAGACTTTGGGAGACTGTTGGGAAGGCATGATTGATTTTGAAATGTGAAGACATGAGATTTAGGAGGGGCCAGGAGTGGAATTATATGGTTTGGCTGTGTCCCCACCCAAATCTCAACTTGAATTGCCATGTGTTATGGGAGGAACCCAGTGGGAGGTAATTGAAACATAGCAGCAAGTCTTTCCTCTGCTGTTCTCATGATAGTGAATAAGTCTCACAAGGTCTGATGGTTTTAAAAATGGGATTTCCCCTGCACAAGCTCTCTTTTCTCTTGTCTGCTGCCATGTGAGATGTGCCTTTCACCTTCTGCCACGATTGTGAGGCCTTCTCAGCCACGTGGAACTGTGAGTCCATTAAATTTCTTTCTTTTGTAAATTGTCCAGTCTTGGGTATATCTTTATCAGCAGCATGAAAACAAGTTAATACAGCCTCTAACCACGAAAACCACAGCAGCTCCTAACCAGATTGTGCTAGCAACTTATTCCAAGTGAGTGTTTATATTTCATACTATAATGAGAAATTCTGATTTTATAATTTTAATGAAAACATAGAAACAGAGCATATGTTTCACAAATTACATAGTTATACCCTGTAATTTTGACACTTTGTAATATTTAATAGAGATACCACATGCTTTACTCCTTTGAAAATTTGTGTGTGGTTGAGAAAGTCACACAAACCTTGCCTGTCTAAGTCTACACTGGGTAATTATGGATTGTTTGGGGGCCTGTATTCTAAGGAATGGAAAGAAATGAACTGAAGGCTAGAATGGCTCTTCCAGAGTTTCTTTTAAGAAACATAAAGCCGCTAGTGATTCTACATTCTTAGGTAAGCCAATAGATATTTTCTTAAGACAGAGTCTTGCTGTATCACTCAGGCTGTAGTGCAGTGGCGCAATTTTAGCTCACTGCAGCCTCTGCCTCCTGGGTTCAAGCGATTCTTGTGCCTCAGCCTCCCAAGTAGCTGGGATTACAGGTGTGCACCACCACTCCTGGCTAATTTTTTGTATATTTAGTAGAGAAGTGGTTTCTCCATGTTGGCCAGGCTGACCTTGAACTCTTGTTGTCAAGCAATCCACACTGTTTTTCCTTTCAAAGTGCTGGGATTACAGGCATGAGCCACCAATGGATAGTATTTTAGCTGATTACCTCTTGAGGTATCCCTGATGAGTTACAAAATTGTCATAAGCTTTGGGTCTGGGCGTGGTGGCTCATGCCTGTAATCTCAGCACTTTGGGAGGCCAAGGCAAGTGGATCACTTGAGAGCAGGAGTTTGAGACTAGCCTGGCCAACATAGTGAAGTTTGGTTTCTACTAAAAATACAGAAATTAGCCAGGTGCGGTGTTCAGCGCCTGTAATCCCAGCTACTCGAGCGGTTGAGGCAGGAGAATCGCTTGATCCCTAGAGGCGGAGGTTGCGGTGAGCCAAGACTGCACCATTGCACTCCAGCCTGGGCAAAAAGCAAAACTCTGTCTCAAAAAAGAAAAATGTCGTAAGTTTCATAAGTTACTGAAAATTGGGTAACAACACCATCATACATGCTAAGATTTTCTATAACAATGTAGAATTTAAATATGGTAATTCTCAGAGTGTAACATTGAGCTAGTAAGGTAAGCTGGAGAAATGTTGATGGTCACACTACCTTCTTATTCAGGATCCTTTCAGCTGCCAGTTTTGCCAGTTGCATATTGCTTCAGTCAGAATAAATTCTGGGATTTTCTGTAGTGCCTCTTTGTGCCATAGAGTCTGGAAAGGAAAGAAAAACATTTCCAATATTTTCTCAAAGCTAAGATCCTCAGAGTAGACACACAAGATATAAATGCAAAATCGAGCAATGTGAGATAACATTCATCTGGGAAGAGGCCATCTCTTTTCAAGTAGAGCAGTAGTAACATATGTTTTTTTCTGGGGATGCCACAGTGGAGTTTCTAGTACACAGTCTCCATCACCATGGAGGTTGCAAGTTGGGCAATGATATAGTAAAGTCACTCTTCCTGATGGGGAGACTCAAAGTTTTTTGCTTCTCTATTCCATAAATTCTAAACTTAATAATCTGTAATATATTTCTGTGTGATTAAGCTAGCTAGAGTTTGCAATACAATAAACAAATCTGCAATGGAATAAAACAGTTTCTGACAAATCAGATTATATGGCTTAAGCAAATAGATTTATTGAGAAATGAAAATATAAAAACAAGTTAGTTATCTTCAAAAATGCCTGGACCCAAAGGTTCAAACAGTGTTTGATTTTCCTCCTCTACTTCCATGTAGTATTCACTCTTAGGCACTATCTATGTGGTGTCACAACTCAAATCTATGCATCTTACAATCACAATAAAAAATACTTTTACTCAAATTTAATTAAATTTCATGCAACTCATTCTCACTGGATTAAGTGTAGACCCAGACCCATCCCCAAACCAAGTACCATGGCTAGGTTGTAAAATAAACAGACCAGTGCAAGGCCATGAGCCTGCCTCTGTAGCAAGGATGAGCAGGACTTCAGTCCCATTTGGACTACATATACGAGCATGAAGAGGGATGATTTTCAAAAGAAACTAACTATTACCAAAACAGGAAAATGGATGCAGGGCAAGAAAATACAAGCACACAAAACCCTCTCCCAACAACCTCCCTCACTGTCTTTCTCACATACATACATATTACATTAAGAATCTTGGCCGGGTGCGGTGGTTCACGCCTGTAATCCCAGCACTTTGGGAGGCTGAGGTGGGTGGATCACCTGAGGTCAGGAGCTCGAGACCAGCTTGACCAACAAGATGATACCCTGTCTCTACTAAAAATACAAAAATTAGCTGGGCATAGTGGTGGGTGCCTGTAATCCCAGTTACGCGGGGGGCTGAGACAGGAGAATTGCTTGAACCTGGGAGGTGGAGGTTGCAGTGAGCTGAGATCGCTACACTGCCCTCCAGACTGGGTGACAAAGCGAGACTCTGTCTCAAGAACAAAACAAAACAAAACAAAACAAAAAAACAAAAAAACCTTAATTTCAGAAAAAAGGAAATTCAAACATTGTTGATAAAATCTATATATTTTGATATATAATGTCAGTTATTGTAAAACTTAAATGTCAGTTATTGTAAAACTTAAAACACAAATGGGTTTCATTTGTTTTTGTTTTTTAAAGAGGAGTGTTACTTAAGCTGCAATTCTAAAAAAGTCTTCATATCTAGAAATGCTCTCTATGACTCGATGATTTTAATTGTGATTTATGAAATAAAATATTTCTAGGCTTAAATCCTAAATCAGACACTTATTAATGTATGACTTTTAATAATATAATCTACATAAGCTATGGTTTATTTAGCTTCAAAATATCAGTAATAGCACTGTTAACTGAGCTAGTGTAAGGAATAAGGTAAATTTCTTGGGAAAATTTAATTGCCTAATATATAGTGTCTTTGGTCGTGATGACTACATATGATTGGGGGAGGGAAATAAATGTATTAATTGTGTAAGTGAAAGGTGAAATCCCATAAAATTAGAATTTCACAAAGTTCAGTGTCATAAAATGTTGTGTTCTATTGTTTTATATGATGTGCCTCATATATTTCTTGAAATTTAAATAATTATTTATTAATTGGAGCTATATGACATTGATTTATATATCAAAATTTGCAATATCATGTAGTTGAATCTCAGGAAGTACAGATAATAGGTATTAAACATATCGGATTTCTTCCTCAGCCTTTCTGTGGCCACAAAAGCATTTGTACAAATTGAATAAAATGAATGAATGTTAATGTGTCAGTTAGTGTAAGTAAGGCATGAGGAGCTTAAAATACATTATACCATGTCTATTCCACTAATACTATTTTGTAGTGAAGTTAAAGCTAAATTAACCATGTGTGACAAATTTGATGGCCTAAAAGAAGTGACTAAAATCATACAAGAGAAATGAATACAGTTGCTATCGTCTCGGTAAATTTGTGGACACAGTTCTGTTCAGATTATATATGAACTGCATGAATATAAATTCGTCATTATCATCTTCTGGAAATATATTCTACTTTGGTAATGGATATGATAGTGATAAGTATGAATTTAAATTAAACAAAATAAAAAATTTTTTCAAATACTGGGCAAAATACGAAAAAATGTTTTATGACAAAATACAAAAAAGGCCTTATAGAAAAAAAGTCAATACATATATGCCTATAAAAAAGTTTCATCAAAAATTTATATAGTGAAATTAGATACCAACACAAATCTGAAAATAATTAAATCACAAGTAGAATATAGGCATCCTTTCATATACACAAGATAGGTTACAGAAAGGATGAAAGTCATCCTTTCATATACACAGCATTGGTTACTGATTTGGATTGATAATCCAAATCCATGGAAACTCAAGTTCCTGATATAAAATGGCACAGCATTTGCATATAGCCATTGCTCATCCTCCGGTATACTTCAAATCATCTCCAGATTATTTATAATACATAATTCAATGTAAATGCTATATAAATAGTTACACTGTATTTTTAAGTATTATTATTTTTGTATTATTGTGTCATTATTTGTATTGTGTTTTAAAAAAACTACTTCCAATCCATAGTTGGTTGAATCTGTGGATGGGGGGACCCATAGACTCCCAGGGAAAACTGTACTTGAATATAGAACAGTAATCAGAGGCCCCCAACGTGTCTTTCCTTCCCACTGTATTTATCCTTTACCTGCTCTGAGCACTTTGTCTTATCACGCTTTTCTCTCAGTTCCCACTCTATTGAAACACAATAAACGAACAAAAAATGGAGGGCAAAGGGGAATCAAGAACAGAAGCAAGTCAGGGACTTGAGTGAAAAGAAGAAACATATTTCAAAGCAATGTGGTTTTTGATAAAATTATTTGGATACAAGGCAAAATAATGATAATGAAGAAGTTAGCCCTAGTATAAAATAAGGAAGCCAGGAATAAGCTCTAGAATCTAAAATTCTCTAGGAAATAATAATATGTCTCTTAGTCACAGTTCCAGGCACTCAATATCTTTCAGGAATATTCCCAGGATTACTCAGCTTTTTATTTACAATGTGTGTTTAATTATTAAGTGTGATCTTACATTATATAAGACATCACGTACTAAGAACAAAGGCTAAAATGATAAATAAAATTGGCTGATTCTTACTAAATTGGCTTATAGTGAGTGGGAGGTGATTCTGATACCCGAGATGTAAGCAGTCATGAAGGTGCAGTGTTGTTAGCAGCCTGTGGTGGACAAAGTATCCATGTTCTCATTCCTCAAAGTGAGGAATATGTTATCCTATATGACAATAGGAAAATAAGTTTGCAGATGAAAATAATTTTGCTAACAAGCTGATTTATAAACAGAAAAATTATCCTTCATTATTCTGGTGGGTCCAATGTAATCAAACTGGTTCTCATAAATGAAAGAGAGAGACAGGAGAGTCAGTCTGGAATCATCCACTGTGAGAAGAAAATGCCATCCTCCATTGCTGGTTTTGAAGATGAAATGGGGCCACCAGCCAAGGAATGAGGGAAGCACCTAGAAGCTGAAAAAGCCAAGGAAATGAATTCTATCCTACAGCCTTGAGAACGGAACACATCTCTATTGACACCCTGATTTTAGCCAAATTAGAAATGAGTCATACTTCTGATCTACAGAACTGTAAGATCATACATTTGCATTGTTTTAAGCCACCAAATACATGGTAATTTGTTAAATGAGCAATAGAACACACAGCCCATGGATTTCACTGAGGAGTCACGAAGCTATCTGAGAAATAAATGCAATTTTAGCAGAAAACTGAATGCTCCAAATATTCTGGGCAGGACGCAGTAAGCACGTTGTACAAAGAGAATAGGAATAATTGTGCAGACAATGGAATAGGAGAGAGAGCAATACACATTTTGAAAAACTAAAAAGTTCAGTGTAACTGTATCTGTTGTACTCTGTGTGGTGTCTGTGGGTAACTGAACAGTAGTAGGAAGCATCCAGAAATGAAAAATTAGAAATCTGAGATTAATGTATGAAAAGATAATGAGGCTTTGAAAGCCATGATAGCAAATTTAAAATTATTTCTAACAGCACAGGAATGTCATGGCACATTTTTAAAGGGGATTGTGTGTAGGTGTTGGGGGCAGGGTGATCGAATTTTCATTCTAGACATATTGCTGAAGCTGCTCCTGAAAGAGACAGGAGAGGGCCGCTAAAGTTAGGAGGCCTTGCATTAACCCAGGACAAAGTCACAATCGAAGTCTTGGCTAGGACTGTGACAAGTGGGATCCAGACATGGGACTTGAAATCCTAGGGAGTTGCCTTGTTTTTTTCTTTTCTTTTCGAGAAGGAGTCTCGCTCTGTCACCCAGTCTGGAGTGCAGTGGTACAATCTCAGCTCATTGCAACCTCTGCCTCCTGGATTCAGCCATTCTCCCACCTCAGCCTCCCGAGTAGCTGGAGCTGCAGGAGCCCACCACCATGCCTGGTTAATTTTTGAATTTTTAGTAGAGACAGGGTTTTGCCATGTTGGCTAGGCTGGTCTTGAACTCCTGACCTCAGGTGATCTACCCGCCTCAGCCTCCCAAAGTGCTTGTATTACAGGAGTGAGCCACCATGCCCAGTCCTGTAGTTGCCTTTTCTTTAAACATATTGATTAGAAGGAGGCATCTGTGGCCAGGCGGGGTGGCTCACACCTGTAATCCCAGCGCTTTGGGAGGCCGAGGTGGGTGGATCACGAGGTCAAGAGATAGAGACCATCCCGGCCAACATGGTGAATCCCCGTCTCTACTAAAAGTACAAAAAATTAGCCGGGCGTGGTGGCAGGCGCCTGTAATCCTAGCTACTCAGGAGGCTGAGGCAGGAGAATCACTTGAACCCGGGAGGTGGAGGTTGCCGTGAGCCGAGATTGTGCCACCGCACTCTAGTCTGGCAACAGAGCAAGACTCTGGAAAAAAAAAAAAAAAAAAAAAAAGAAGGAGGCATGTGGCCCCACCTGAATTTATATCCTTAGGCTTAAGAAAAATTTATCCTGACGTAGAAATAGATTAGCTGTCTAAAAATTCCCAGCATATTTTTTATGCACACAAACTCATAGGTATTCACTCCAGCATATGATTTATAAACAAGTTTTTACTTGATATTTTGTGGAATAAGCCAGAGTATTTTAATAGACGTCAAAATGTCCTGCTTCTATTTCCACCCTGTTATTGAATTACTGTCAACCTCAGAAAAAATTCGAATCTTTTCTGGGCCCCTGTTGTCGTTTGGGGGAGATTAGACAAATTGAATTCGATAGTATAGGTTAAATAAAATAAAATTGGTACTATTTGATCAATTTCAATTTATAAAACTAGCAAATTTATATGGCTCTGCTTACTATTTTTTTCACTTAAAAAACTCACATGTAATTTTTCAACATGGTAGAGAACCAAAAATCAGGACCCTTGCTTTTCCTCTTTTTTTTTTTTTTTTTGAGACGGAGTTTTGCTCTGTCGCCCAGGCTGGAGTGCAGTGGCTGGATCTCTGCTCACTGCAAGCTCTGCCTCCCAGGTTCACGCCATTCTCCCGCCTCAGCCTCCCGAGTAGCTGGGACTACAGGCACCTGCCACCACGCCCAGCTAATTTTTAGTGGAGACGGGGTTTCACTGTGTTAACCAGGATGGTGTCGATCTCCTGACCTGGTGATCCGCCCGCCTCGGCCTCCCAAAGTGCTGGGATTACAGGCGTGAGCCACCGCGCCCGGCCTTGTTTTTACTCTTAAGGTCAGTGGAAAACAAAGCAAACATGCTTCTATATTTACTTAAAAATGATTGATGTAGACATATCTGAATATCTATAAATTAAAATTATGTTTTTCAATTACAAATACCTCATATCACCAGCTCTTTAATTCTGCCACAATTGCAGATGCCTTAGGCACATCTCCATGGGTAGATTATTGTTTAATAAATATGTACTATATTCATAATTATAGGAACCAAAAGTTAAAATTAATTTCTTGGCCATTTTTTTTTCCTTTTTGTAATCTTAACAATGCGGACCCCTATGTTCATTATTTCTTACAATAAAAGTACTCAAGAATGCCTTAGGTAATTGACCTATAATGATGATAATTTTCTCTTTGCCTGAGAAAATTACTTTTAATTTTAAATTTCTTCTTAATCTTATGGGAATGATTCAACTTGTCAATTCACTTGTTTTTGATTTCCCATTTTAATTAGTCTCAATTTAATTACAATTGATTGAGTTGAAATATCAAACATAAACTTCCTGCATGAATAGAAAAATCTCATTTTCTCAGTAGGCATCAACTTACATGTTAGAGAAAAATATACAAGTAACTCCTTTGCATGTGGTTGTGTACGTGAACTCCCAAGTTTATTTTCCAGAGATTTTAATAAATTGATTTTTTATAAGAAAAATAACATCATCCATGGGGTCTAAGTTACTCTTCTTCACTCTTCTTTTGCAGACAGAGAGCAAGAGCAAGAGAGAAAGAAAACCTACAGGTGATTCTTATACATGATCAAAGTTAAGAACTAGAAATTTTATACATTTATTCTCTGTCATTAATTCCCTCCTCCATTTCTTAGTCTAATTACAACATATTGATATAGTTAAGCACCTTTTTAAAAATATAATTGCAATTAGACAGTGTTAGAAAATTAGGTTTAATTTGTTTTTCTTTTCCCAGTTGATTATCGCAATAGCTGCCATTTATTCTTATGCTATGCTCATCCATTTTTCCCTGTTGTATAAATGATATTTAAGGGATTAGTATCAAAATAGTATTTTTAAGAGAAAGTCTTATTAAACATTGCCACATGGGAGACGTAAATCCAGGGCAATTCTACCAGGACAGCAACCTCTCTTTATTCCCCATCCTGCCTCGATACCAATTTACCCACTTAGTGTTCATTCCCAATTGTGAAAGAATATTTTAAGTTTTATTATAATACTTTTTATAAGATTCCCAAATTATGAGTATAAAAATTTTTAGTAGAATACAATATATGTGAAGATTAGCATTCAATATCCAGTTAAAACAAAAGTATAACCATGAAATTTTAATTGCAATTGCAGGTGACTTTCACACTATTGGGCAGTGAACATTCTTAATATTCTGTATATTTTTTTAATTTTTATAAAGTATGATCAACTTTCAATGGAACACTTTTTTAAAATTTCAAAACTGTTAAACAATCTGCTAAAATGAAAGGCATTATGAATCAGGAAATGTAATTAAACAGAATTTGAGGTGAATGTGTGTGTTTTCTGTAAGTGATGTATTTTGCATTACATAAACATAAAATAAGGTGCTTATTATAAATCAACTCTTCCATTGTCATGTGTCTAAACAAATGTTATCCATTTTATAACGTTTCCTTTGGAAGTATATGTAGTTAAAAAAAAAAAAGTATGGCCAACTAGCTTTTGACAACTCTTTGACTGAATGGTTCTTAAAGATTTTACTTGTTTTCAACAACAGGCAAGAAGAAGAAGAAGGAGGAGGAGGAGGAAGAGGGGAGGAGGAGGAGGAGGAGGAACCAGTGGTATACCTAATGTAAATGATGAGTTAATGGGTGCAGCACACCAACATGGCACATATATATATATATGTAACAAACCTGCACGTTGTGCACATGTACCCTAGAACTTAAAGTATATAAAAAAAATTATCAGCAAGTCAAATAAATTCAAAAACTAAATTTAAAAAATAAATTATAGACTGGACAAATGACTTTTTTTTTTCAATAGAGATGGGGTCTCTGCATATTGCCCAGGCTGTCCTCTAACTCCTGAGCTCAACCAATCTGCCCACCTTGGCCTCCCAAAGGGCTGGGATTACAGATGTGAACCACTGTGCCCAGCCAAAATCACTTCTTATTTTTTTAAATTTTATTTTAAGTTCAGGGATATAAGTGCAGATTTCTTACATAGGTACATTTATGACATGGGGGTTTGTTGCACAGATTATTTAATCACCCAGGTATTAAGCCTAACTCCCATAGTTATTTTTCCTGATCCTCTCCCTCCTTCTAGTCTCAACCTTCTAGAAGGCCCCAGTGTAGGCTGTTCCCCTCTATGTGTCCATATATTCTCATCAGACAAATGACTCCTTCACTACAATTAAGATGTGTATTGAAGAGAAAAAGGTGATTAGACAACTTTCCTGTCTTAGTCCGTTCAGGCATCAATTACAAAATACCATAGACTGGGTGGCTTAAACAACAAACACTTATTTGTTATAATTTTGGAAGCTGAGAAGATTAAGATCAAGATGCCAGCAGATTCAGAGTCTGTTGAGGGCCCTCTTCCTGTTTATAGGTAGCTGTCTTTTTGCTCTTTATAGGTGGCTGTCTTTTTCCCTCATATGAGAGAAGGGATGAGGAAGTTCTCTAGGACCTCCTTTATAAAGGTACTTATCTCCTTAATGAGTGTTCATCTCATCATGACCTAGTCAATATCCAAGAGCTCCACCTAATACAATCCCTCTGAGTGTTAAAATTTAAACATATGAATTGGAGGTAAAATAAGTAGCCCGTAGCACTCCACATCACTAAAGAAACAAGGTAAAAAAAAAAAAACACCAATAAACAACAAATACACAAAAACCTCTCAGTCTGATATCTCCTACAGAAGAATCATAATAATGTACTTTTGATTTTGCCACATGATTGATAACTTATAATCCCCCAGATGCTGAATAAAATGCTAAATTATTATAATAAAATATATTTTTTCTCTCCTGGAAAAATTAGAATAATGCCAGAGGAGTAATTTTCTATAATATATTTTCAATAATTTTCTACATTTTATTATCTCCATTACCATTATCGTTTCAAGAGGAAAAAGAAAAAACAAGAACAGCAACACATTGCTGTGGTTTGAATGTTTGTCTCCTCTCAAATTCATGTTGAAGTTTAGTTTCCATTGTAAGAGTATTAAGAGGTAGAACCTTTCAGAAGTCTGTGAAGATTCTACCTTCATAAATGGATTGATGCTGTTAATTAAAGAGTGCGTTCCTTATAGATGAATATTTCAGTTCTGTCTTTTCTCTCTCTCCCCCACCCCATCCTTGCCCTTCTGCCATGGCATGACACAGTAAGAAGTCCCTTGACAGCTGCTGGTAGCTTAATCTTAGATGCCCCATCCCCCAGAGCCATAAAGCAATAAATTTGTGTTCATTATGAATTTACCAGTCTGTGGTATTCTGTTATAGCAGCACAAAATAGACTAAGACACAGGTACACATAATATACATAAACATAGTACCAAAATGTCAAAGATTTGGGGATTAGAGCTTATATTAATACGTTAAATAAAACAAAGAATAATAACACTTAGAGGCTAACACTGTACTAATACTAAAATTTATCTAATCCAGATATGAATAGAAGGAATTTTTAAAAATATCTTGAAACAAATGAAAATGGATATACAACATAAGAAAATCTATGCGATATGGCAAAAGCAGAACTGACAGGGAAGTTTATAGCAATAAATGCCTATATCAAAAAGTAAAAATAAACAAGCTAACAATAACACCTCAAGGAACTAGAAAAGCAAAAACAAACCAAATCCAAAATTAGTAGAAGGAAAGATATAATAAAGATCAGAGTAGAAATAAATGAAATTAAGTCTAGAAACATAATACAGAAGATTCTTGAAATGGAAAGTTGGTCCTTTGAAGAGATAGAATTGACAAATTGTTAGTTGGACTAAGAAAAAAAGAGAGAAGACCTAAGTAAATAAAGTGAAAAACAATTAAAGAAGGCATAATTACCGAGATTTCAGAAATACAAAAAACCATTAGAGGCTATTGTGAACAAGTATACACTAACAAACTGGAAAACCTAAAATAAATGGATACATTCCTAGATACATAAAACCTACCAGGATTGAACCATGAAAAAATGGAAAATCTCAACAAGCCAAAAACGAGCAATAGATTAAGACTATAATAAAGAGTCTCAAAAAAAAAAAAAAAAAGAAAGCTCAGAACTTGATGGTTTTATTGCCGAATTCTACCAACCATATGAAGATAAACTAATACCAATCCTACTCAAACTCTTCAAATAAATTGAAGAGAAGGGAATAACTTTCAGCCTCATTCTGTGAGTCCAGAATTACCATGATACCAACACCAGAAAGGGACATACAACAAACAAGAAAACTACAGGCCAATATCACTAATACGGTTTGGCTCTGTGTCCCCAACCAATCTCATCTCAAATTGTAATCCCCATGTGCTTAGGGAAGGGTCTGATGGGAGTTGATTGGATCATGAGGGGCAGATTTTTTTCCATGCCGTTCTTGTGATAATGAGTTCTCATGAGTTTTGATGGTTTAAAAGTGTGGCACTTCCTCCCGAGTGCTCTCTTTCTTCTGCCACCATATAAGATGTGCCTTGCTTCCCCTCCTGCCATAATTGTAAGTTTCCAGAGGCTCTCCAGACATGGGGAACTGTGAGTTAATTAAACTTTCTTTTCTTTATAAAGTACCCAATATCAGGTATTCTTTATAGCAGTGTGAAAACGGACTGATGCAATCACTGATGAACATAGATGTAAAATACTAGCAAACTGAATTCAAAGACGCATTAAAAAGATAATACACCATGATCAAGTGGGATTCCTCCCAGGGATGCAGAAATGTTTTAACATATGCAAATCGATAAACATAATACATGATATTAACAGAATCAAGAACAAAACTACATAATTATTTCAATAGTTGCCAAAAAAGCATTTGATACAATTCAACATCCCTTTATATGACAAAAACCCTCACCAAAATAGTTACGGATTGAAAATACCTCAAAATAATAAATATCATATATGACAAAGACACTACTAGCATCATAATGAATGGGGCAAAATTGAAGGTCTTTCCTCTAAGGACTGAAACAAAGCAAGGATGCCTACTTTTACCACTTTCATTTAATATAGTACTGGAAGCTCTGGCCGGTGCAATTAGGTATGAGAAAGAAATAAAAGGCATCCAAATTGGAAAGGAAAAATTCAAATTATCTCTGTTTTCAGGTGACATGATCTTATACTTGCAGAAACCTAAAGACTCCACTAAAAATTTTTAGAAATGATGAACAAATTCAGTAAAGTTGCAAGATAAAAAAAATCAACTTACAAAAATCAGTAGCATTTACATATGGCAACTACAAACAATGTGAAAAGAAATCAAGAGAGTAATCCCATTTACAATAGCTACAAAAAATCAAATACTTCAAATAAACCTAACAAAAAAATGAATGATCTATACAAAGAAAGCTATAAAATGCTGATGAAAGAAATTAAAAATCACAAAAAGAAATTTCATGCTCATAGAATGTAACAAAGTTAATATTGTTAAAATGACAAAACTACCCAAAACAATGTATAGATTTAATACATTACCTATCAAAATAATAATATTCTTCACAGAAATTATTAATAAAGTTCTAAAATTTATCTGGAATTACCAAAACTCCAGATAGCCAAAATATCTTTGAGAAAAAGGAACAAAGCTGGAAGCATCAAAGCAACTAACATCAAAATTTACTACAAGTCTGTAGAAATTGAAACAGCATGGTACTGTCATCAAACAGACACATTGACCAATGGGACAGAATAGAGAACTCAAATAAAAATCTATGCATTTACAGCCAACTCTTCTTGGACAAAGACACCAAGAACATATAATAGGGATAATTAAGTCCCTTCAATAAATGGTGCAGGGAAAACTAGATAACTATGTGCAAAAGAATAAAACTAGACCACTGTTCCTCATTATACACAAAAATGAAATCAAAATGGATTAAAGCCTTGAATCTAAGACCTTAAACTATGAAACTACTAGAAGAAAACACAGGGGAAGTGCCGCAGGTTGTTGGCCTGGGAAAAATTTTTTGTGTGTAAGACTTCAAAAGCACAGTCAATCAAAGGAAAAAAAAAAAAAAAAAAAAAAAAAAGGATACTAAAAAGCTTACACACAGAAAAGGAAACAACCAAGAAAGTGAAGGGACAACCTACAAAGCGAAAGAAAATATTTGCAAAGTATCTATCTGATGAGGGCTTAGTAACCAGAATATATAAAGAGCTCAAACAATTCAACAGCAAAAAAACAAAAGCAAAAGCACTCAAATAATCCAACTTAAAAATGGGCTAAATTTCTGAATAGACTTTTTTTCAAAAGAAGACATACTAATACCTAATATAAGTATATGAAAAAACACTCAACATCACTAATCATCAGAGAAATTTAAATCAGAACCACAATGTGATATGATGTTGCCTGTCTTAAAATGTACCATATCAAAAACACAGACAATAACTGATGTAGGTTAGGATATGGAGAAAGGGAAACCATCTTACATTATTGGTGCGAATGTATTTTAGTACCACCATTATGGAGAACAATATAGATGTTCTTCAAAAAACTGAAAATAGAACTACCATATAATCCAGCAATTCCACTAGTGAGTATATAGTCAAAAGAAAAGAAATCAGTATATTAAAGAGATAGCTGCACTCCCATGTTTATTGCAGCACTATTCACAATAGCCAAGATAGGGAATCAACCAAAGTGTCCATCAATGGATGAATGGATAAAGAAAATGTAGTACATAAAGACAATGGAATATTATTTAGCCATGAAAAAATAAAATTCTATGATTTGCAACAAAATGGATGAAATTGAAGGCCACTATGCTATGTTAAGAGAAGTAAGCTAAGCATAGAAAGACAAATATTGTGTACTATCACTCATATGTCAGATCTAAAAAAGTGGACCTCATGAAGCTAGAGAGTAGAATGATGGTTACGAGTCTAAGAAGGCTAAGGAGAAAGGGAAATTGAGGGAAAAAAGAATATAAATGTATTTGTTACCACTGAAGTATACACATGAAGTGGTAAAGATGGAAAATTTTATATTATATGCATATCTTACTTCAATCAATGAATACAATTAAAAATATATACACTTTAAATAAATAAAAATAACTGTAAAAATGTTTACATAAATAAATAATAAATAGAGCACATGAATATTAGAAATATTGAAATTTGCCCTTGAACCAAAGAGGCTAAATCTGAAAATTAAAAGTAAACAAAGAAATAACTATTTTTGAAACTAAAAAATTCCATCACACACAGACATATGCACAAAATAATTTTAATATTTTTGTTAAAAATAATTAAAAGATAAAATTTAAGATTTAAAAACATTACAATTTAAAATCACTAGCTACATAGCCATGTATTAAGGCTAAATCTTCACTCAGAAAAAAATATATAGCCATAATATCTAAAATTTCTAAATACACCAAAATGGGAAAACATATATGAAATTTTTTCCAAAATAGTTAAAAATTATAAACAATTACATCATAAAGAATAATCTATGGATGAATAAAAATAAAATTAGAAATGAATGAAATGTTAAAAGTCCATTACTAAGTAAATGCTCAATAACTAAACTGCTAAATAAATGCCAAAATCTAACCATCTGAAAACCTAAATTTTTGTCTCCTCCACAAAAAAATGCAGTAATACAAAATGAAGTGAAATAAAAACACAAATAGAATTAATTATAAATGAAATTAAATTAATTATAATTGAAAGCAAAGAAAAATCAGAAACACCTAGAAAAAAGTAAAATAAATGAGCCGCTTACACACTTTAAAAATAGTGTTCATAAAACAAATGAAATTAATGTTTTCAAATAAAAATATATAGTATCAAAATATACTGAAAGGCAATAAGAAAGCTATGTATATTGATTAAAGACACTGAAAATATCCTGAGGAGTTTTATTATATTCACTTTTACCACCTACCATTTCAGGCAATAAGATATTTTTGCATTACCTTTTCCAAAGCCATGGTTCTGTTACTAAAAGTGTGACAAAAACAAACAAACAACAACAAATAAAACAAAAACCAAGAAAGTGCTGATAAGTGTTACAAAATTATATTAATGAAGAAATCATTTTAAAATATTTTCACAATGACACTCTTATAGACTCAACACTAGTACATAATTCTCAGGTTGTCTTCACTTTGATTATGACATATTGTCATTAGTAATTGTGGTGATATAATGCACCATAGCATTCATTTAAAAGAAAAATGTATAGTTGTCTTATTAGTTGTACATATATTTTTGATAAAGTATGTTGATCAAATTCAAACTAAGACTAAAATACTCAAACAAAAATTACATACTTTTAGTAAACGAGAGATGGACTTATAATTAATTGCTCTCTGGATTGCAACTGCCATGCAAAAATGTTACTTTTTGTATCTCCTCACATCTCTAAGACTGCCCTGGGATCAGCCCCAGCTACATTGCACAACTTCCTGTGAGCTCAATCATTTTGACACTACTTTACTTCTACTTCTTACCATCAATTTCTTGCTTTTTTTTTTTTTTTAATCTCACAGTCTTTTCCAAAGTCTAGGGAGCCTACTTGATCAACACTGAAGCATAAGAAAGTTAAGTTTTCCAGGGAAATCCTCAACTAACAGAGGATAGGAGCCAGTGGATGTAGGTCCAGGACTTGTCCTAAGGATGGGCAATTTTTAAGGTCATTCTTTATGCTTCCATAGTTTTACAAGAATTGAGCTATTCTTTCCAAAGCCAAAAAAAAAAAAAATCCCCAAGATACAACCTAATATTAGCTTTGTATTATGCCTTTTCTCAGTCTTTCTATTTCCTCATTCCTATATGGATCACCTTCCAAATTCAAACAAATAGGTGATGTGGGACTGAGATATGCACCCAAGTCATTGTCTCATAAATTACTGTCGGGAACCCAAGCTAAAATAAGTGGCAATAAACTAGTTTTAGGAAAGAGACCATCATTATGGAATTCTGGAACTGGACCTTACTGGCTAGATGACAACAGGTTCCTATTATTGTTAATAAGTGAGTAGTGACGCCTCTTCTGTTATGCTATTATTTCAACATTACAAAGACTTTAAATTTTAGTCCATCGAATCACATATGGAAGAAAAGTTTTGGGTTGTCCAGAAACTCTAACAGTTTAACAATTTTAGAGCAATGGGAATTATAAATATTGTAGAATTAGATAATTTTTGTCAACTTACCTTAAAAGCCTTGAAAAAAGCAAGTGGCAGATTCATGTCAGCCAACTATTATCTCAAAGTTGCCAGTGAAATCCAGAATCCCTCCATGACAGTTTACAGAGTCCCTCGTCTTTTACAATCACAAGGCAGATTATTAAAAACCAGACACACAACTTAATTTTAAGGCCTGCAGAGTTGCCAAAGGAAGTGTATGCCAAGCTCAACGTGACTCCTATGTTAAAATCAGGGGCCTCCTAGGCAGGAGTAGTTCCCTTAGACATCTAATGGGGATGTTCTGAAGGGGTCACAAAAACCCCCTAATTCTAAAGTTCTCCTAAAACATCCAGATCAACAAAAGCAAACAAACAAAATCCTCTTCTTATAGGAGAACAGTAGCCACTCATTGTCTGGAGACATTAGAAATGCTAATCTGGGCAGAAGTTCCTGAAGATGATGCTTGTCCTCCTCTTACCCTGTTCCTATCTCTCTTAAGACTTCCAGACCAATCACTAGAGTCAGATTACTCCCTGAAGATTTGTAAGTCCTGGCAAACACATATTAGCAGAAGAGGGAAAGTGTGTGGGAGCGAATTTTGAGAATTTTTGACCAGAAGTGGGAGTTGTGGCTGAGATAATCATTTTCCTGTGAATCCAAACTTAAGGTTCAGACAAGAACACCAGGAGAGGAATTTTTTAAATGTTGCTGCTGAGATGGCTTTTAGTAGATGAGTTGGAGATGCTGTCCTCATTTCACAAAGGCTATTAGCATGCACTATCGATTAGGACATCCAACGTCTCAGTGACTGTTGTCATGATTTGGCCAGAGTTGTTAGTAGGAAAAGGTGCCATGAAACTAGTCTGCCAAATGCTAATGAGACAATATTATTCTCAAATATCTCAGATTAGGTGGTGACATCTATTCATTAGAAATAATGTGGGTATGGTAACTGAATTTAGCAGCAATGCCAGAGGGACAAGCAGGATGTCTTTTATGTGAGAGTCTCTTATGATATATAACAGACTGTGATTTTCCTAGGGGTGAAATGGATAGGCAATCAGGGTGTTTCTGGTTTTGCAATTAGAATAAATCCTGAACTAGCAAGCAGAAGACTGGCATTAGCTACTGTGATGAAAACCCACAATTTCTCACCCACCTACCCAGTCTGAGCTGGTTCTCAGAACCAGAGCCCATCTGTTGAAGTGGAGTCATAACAAACTTGAGGAAGGACTCTACAATGACAGTATAAGTATCAATAACAAATATTAAGAACCTACAGCCATGTACCATAGTGAATGTATACAAAGAAAAGAACACTATCCAGAACTTTTAAGAGCTGTTGGACTTGAAGTCTGAGGTTATATTGATACAAGCATACCAAAATTCCCTCTTCAATTAGATTGAGTGCTCATGAAGAACAAGTACTTAACAGACACATGATTGAAATCAGATTCCAGTCCACAGTTATCTCCCCAGATGCTGAGTGCACAGTTGAGATGGATAGACTTAGTTACTCAAAGAACCTGCACATTGGTTACCTGATTTCTGTAGTAATATGTAATCATAGGATTCATTATGTATTGCACGTTAAGTATGATCAAATATAAATCCTTGAAGCTTCCCCAACACTTTCCTAGCCAGGGCAATAAATCAGAAACAATATTTAATATCAGAATTAAATTACAGAGATTCATACTACCTTCAAACAATTAAAGAATTGGTGGTGGTAGTTATTCTCTTTATTCCCCTGTTTAATTTAACTGTAAGGGTCGCTGCAAAAAAATAAAGAGCTGGTAGATGACAGTGGACTGCTGTAAACTTAACCAAGGGTGAATCTAATTTACTCTTATACTAGATTTGGGATTTTTATTGGAACAGATCAATTTTAGTACTTTATATGTGGCAATAGTCTGGAAAATATGTTCTTTTGTCCTTCTTGATCTTAGTAGATTTTTAAAAACATTTTATGTGTATGTGGAAAGACAGTATTAGCAGGAGCACAGGAAAAGTGTGCAAACACACATCTTCTCCTAGGTCTTAGGTATATGTCAATTCCTCTGCACTCCAACAGAGTATAGTCCACAAAGGACTTGATCAACTTTCCATTCTGGGAAATGCTATGATAATCCAATAAATTGATGGCATTGTGCTAACTGAACCTAGTGAATAGAAAGTGGCAAGTGCCCTGAATGTCTTAGCAAGCTACAACAATAACATAGATGAGAGCAAAACTTCAGGGTCCAACAGTCTCTGGCATTCTGGGGCATCCATTCTAAGGTAAAGTTTATATTATACACTTTGCATAACCTACTACTAGGAAATAGATACAAGATTTTGTAAATATATTTAGCTGTTGGAAACAGCATCTGTAGCTTTTGGGAATGTTGCTTAAACTTTTATATTAGGGCCAGGCGTGGTGGCTCACGCCTGTAATCCCAGCACTTTGGGAGGCCAAGGCGGGAGAATCACGAGGTCAGGAGATCGAGACCATCCTGGCTAACATGGTGAAATCCCGTCTCTACTAAAAAATACAAAAAATTAGACGGGTGTGGTGGCAGCTGCCTGTAGTCCCAGCTACTTGAGAGGTTGAGGCAGGAGACTGGCGTGAACCCGGGAGGCGGAGCTTGCAGTGAGCCGAGATTGTGCCACTGCACTCCAGCCTGGGCGACAGAGCAAGACTCTGTCAAAAAAAACAAAACAAAAAAACAAAAAAAGCAAAACAAAACAAAATAATAACTTCTATATTAGATTACTTGGAAGAAAATATTTTTTAAGTGGGTCATTTGGAAGAAGAGGGCTTTGCAGCAGGTTTAGGTTACAGTGAAAATGGCCCTTCCCCTTAGGATATAGTATGGTGCTAGAGGTACACATGGTGGCCAAGACCCTGTGAGAAACCCCCTGTAGAAGAGTTGCAGCAGAAACCACTGGGGTTCATTATCAAGGCCATGTTCTCTGCAGCAGATAATGCCTTGCTATTTGAAATGCTGCTTCTGATGTGCTACAAGACCTTAGAAGAGACTGAGTGCTGGATCTTAGAATATCAAGAGATTATGAGACAAAGGCTTCCATCATGCACCAAGAATCAGTCTATCCCATAATAAAATAATGCATTTTGGATCTTCTCAAAGTATATCCAGAGGCACTCATGATCTAGACCCTCATGTCACCAGCCATTGTTTCTTTGTAATCCCTTCCTCTGATCACACCATGACCTCATGGAGAATTCATTTTGATCAACTAATGAAGAAGGAAAAGTTTTGTACCTGGTTTGTGGATGGATTAATTGAATATAATAGTGCTAGATGATAAATGGACCATTAGCACACACAATCATAATGAGAATTAGCCTTAAAGGACTTTGGTGAAAGGGTAATCCTCCTCGTGGGCCAAGCTATGAGCATCACATTTGGATTTCCATTTATGTGGTAGAAAATCTATTGGAATTACAATGTGTTTAAATGCTTGGATATAGGTGAATGGCTGACCTGATTGCACATAGACCTGGATGGAGTAAGACAGAAAGATCAGATGTACAAAGAAGGGACATGTGGATGGACCTAGAAAAATAGAAATAAATTATGCACATCTTTGGTTTTCTTTTGCTTCAATGCTTGCCTGAGATCATGCATAACATTGTCCACTGGACAACTGAAGCTATGTGCCCAACCTGTAAGCAGTAGAGACTGGGATTAAGCCTTTGATAACGTTCCATTCATTACATTAGAGCAAGCAACCACTTAGAATAAGTCAGTTACTGGACATTTTCAATTCTAGAAGTGGGTCATAATTCATCTTTGCTGAACAAACTCTTATTTTAAAATGTATTTATATTTTTTGTTCACAATGCCTTGGCTAATACTATGATTTGGGGGCCTACAGAAAGCCTAATTACTGAAAGCATAAGTTAATTATGTAATGTCCTGCATAATATCACTTGAGGCCAAGTAATGCATTTTTATGGTAGAAGAGGTAAAACAATAAGCATAGAATGATGGGGGTCTTCAGTTCCAACCATATATTATATTTATCAGCAACACCCAGCCTAATAAGATAATGAAATGGTATACTAAAGTTTCAGCAGGGATGTCAGCTCAGGGAAGGTACACTGCAGTGGGTGCCAGTCTCTAGGATGCAAAATATACTGTATACAAGGGTAGTTAGTTTGAGAAACCAAAAAAGTAAAAGTAGGAATGACCAATTTTTGTATTAGTTTTCTTATGCCAGTAGACCTGAATAAGATGAATGAATTACTACATTGGAAGACAAAATTATGCATCATTATTTTGAAATACTAAGATGAACAATTTTCTCTAATTATAATTCTATAGAATCAAGGCAGGTCATTATCTCTAGATCTCAGGGGATCGACTGATGTGTCCCTGGCAGTGAGATTGAATAAGCAATTATTGCATCAAAAATAGACTAGGACTAAGCAAACATGCTTGGTTTATTTCACAAGAGGGAAAATCTAGAATAGCTGCTACAGTGGCCAAGTTCGTGGAAGAGATGGAAACACAGTAAAGAAAAGGAGATGAACAGGATATCAAT